>NC_000007.14:61377788-61528020 GCF_000001405.40 Homo sapiens | reverse complement strand
TCTGTCTAATTTTTATGTGAAGATAATCCTGTTTCCCAAGAAGGCTTCAAAGCACCCTAATATCCGCCTCCAGATTCTACAGAAAGAGTGTTTCAAAACTGCTCTATGAAAAGGAAGGTTCATCTCTGTGAGTTGAATGCAGACATCATAAAGGAGTTTCTGAGAATGCTTCTGTCTTGTTTTAATGTGAAGATATTTCCTTTTCAACCGATAGCCTAAAAGAGCTCCAAATGTCCAACTGCAGATTTTTTAAAAAGAATGTTTCAAAACTGCACTATCAAAAGAAAGGTTCAGCTCTGTGAGTTGAATGCACACATCTCAAAGAAGTTTCTGAGAATGGTTCTGTCTAGTTTTTATGTGAAGGTATTCGCGATTCCAATGAAGTCTTCAAAGCGCTCCAAATATCTAAATGTGGATTCTACAAAAAGAGTGATTCAAAACTGGTCTATGAAAAGGAAGGTTCAGCTCTGTGAGTTGAACGCACACATCACAAAAAGTTTCGGAGAATGCTTCCATTTAGTTTTTAGGTGAAGATATTACCTTTTCAACCACAGCCTTCGAAACGCTCCAAATGTCCACTTGCAGATTCTACAAGAAGATTGTTTCCAGGCGGCTCTATCAAAAGAAATGTTCAACTATGGGAGTAGAATACACACATCACAAAGTCGTTTCTGAGAATGCTTCTGTCTAGTTTTTATGTGAAGATATTTCCTTTTCTACCAGAGGCCTGAAAGCGCTCCAAACATCCAATTGCAGATTCTACAAAAAGAGTGTTTCAAAACTTCTCTATCAAAAGTTAGGGTCTGCTTTGTGAGTTGAATGTACACATCAAAATGAAGTTTCTGATTATACTTCTGTCTACTTCTTATGGGAAGATATTTCCTTATCCGCAATGGTCCTCAAAGCCCTCGAAGTGCCCACTTGAAGATTCTTCGGAAAGACTGTTTCAAAACTGCTCTATCAAAAGAAAGTTTCAACTTTGTGTGTAGAATGCACACATCACAAAGTCGTTTCTGAGAATGCTTCTGTCTAGTTTTTATATGAAGATATTTCCATTTCTACCATAAGCCTCAAAGCACTGCACATATGAACTGGCAGATTCTTCAAAAAGAGTGTTTCAAAACTGCTCTATCAAAACTGTTCTATCAACTCTGTGAGTTGAGTGGACACATCACAAAGACGTTCCTGAGAACGCTTCTGTCTAGGTTTTATGTGAAGATGTTCTCGTTTCCAAAGAATGCTTCAAAGAGTACTTAAGTATCCGCCTGCAGATTCTAAAAAAAGGAGTGTTTCAAAACTGCTCTAACAAAGGAAAGGTTCAACCTGGGAGTTGAATGCACACATCACAAAGAAGTTTCTGAGGATGCTTCTGTCTAGTTTTAATGCGAAGGATATTTCCTTTTCCATCATAACCTTCAAAGCGCTCCAAATGTCCATTTGCAGATTTTAGAAACAGAGTGTTTCCAGACTGCTCTATCAAAAGAAATTTTCAACTACGGGAGTAGAATGCACACAACACAAATTCGTTTCTGAGAATGCTTCTGTCTAGTTTTTATGTGAAGATATTTCCTTTTCTACCACAGGCATAAATGTGCTCCAAATATCCACTTGCAGATTCTGAAAAAAGAGTGTTTCAAAACTGCTGTATCAAAAGGAAGGTTCAATTCTGTGAGTTGAATGCACACATCACAAAGTAGTTTCTGAGAATGCTTCTGCCTAATTTTTAATTTTAAGATATTCCCATTTCCAAAGAAGGCTTCAATTTGCTCCAAATATCCACTTGCAGATTGTACAAAAAGAGGGTTTCAAAACTGCTCTATCAAAAGGAAGGTTCAACTCTGTGAGATGAATGCACACATCACAAAGTGGTTTCAGAGAATGCTTGTTTTTAGTTTTCAGGTGACGATATTCCCGTTTCCAATGTAGCACTCAAAGAGCTCCAAATATCCTCCTGCAGATTGTGCAAAAAGGGTGTTTCAAAACTGCTCTATCAAAAAGAAGCTTCAACTCTGTGAGTTGAATGCACAAATCACAAAGAAGTTTCTGGGAATACTTCTGTCTATTTTTAGGTGACGATACTCCCGTTTCCAAAGAAGGCTTCAAAGCACTCCAAATATCCACCTGCAGATTATAAAGGAAGAGTTTTTCAAAACTGCTCAATCCAAAGGAAGGTTCAGCTCCGTGAGTTCAATGCCCACATCACAAAGAAGTTTCTGAGAATGCTTCTGTCTAGTTTCAAGGGGAAGATATTCCCGTTTCCAACGAAGGCTTCAAAGCGCTCCAAATATCCACTTGCAGAGTCTACAAAAAGACTGTTTCACAACTGCTCTATAAAAGTAAGGTTGTACTTTGTTACTTGAATGCACCCATCAAAATGAAGTTTCTGAGAACACTTCTGTCTACTTTTCATGTGAAGATAATTCCTTATCCACAATAGTCCCCAAAGCCCTCAAAATGCCCACTTGAAGATCCCTCAAAAAGACTGTTTCAAAACTGCAGTATCAGAAGGAAATTTCAACTATGTGAGTAGAATGCACACATCACAAAGTAGTTTCTGAGAATGCTTCTGTCTAGTTTTTATATGAAGATATTTCGTTTTCGACCTTAAGCCTCAAAGTGCTGCAATTATGCACTTTCAGATTCTTCAAAAAGAGGGTTTCAAAACTGCTCTGGCAAAAGGAAGTTTCAACGCTGTGAGTTGAATGCACACATCACAAAGAAGTTTCTGAGAATGCTTCTGTCTAATTTTTATGTGAAGATAATCCTGTTTCCCAAGAAGGCTTCAAAGCACCCTAATATCCGCCTCCAGATTCTACAGAAAGAGTGTTTCAAAACTGCTCTATCAAAAGGAAGGTTCAACTCTGTGAGTTGAATGCAGACATCATAAAGGAGTTTCTGAGAATGCTTCTGTCTTGTTTTAATGTGAAGATACTTCCTTTTCAACCGATAGCCTAAAAGAGCTCCAAATGTCCAACTGCAGATTTTTTAAAAAGAATGTTTCAAAACTGCACTATCAAAAGAAAGGTTCAGCTCTGTGAGTTGAATGCACACATCTCAAAGAAGTTTCTGAGAATGGTTCTGTCTAGTTTTTATGTGAAGATATTCGCGATTCCAATGAAGTCTTCAAAGCGCTCCAAATATCTAAATGCGGATTCTACAAAAAGAGTGATTCAAAACTGGTCTAAGAAAAGGAAGGTTCAGCTCTGTGAGTTGAATGCACACATCACAAAAAGTTTCGGAGAATGCTTCCATTTAGTTTTCAGGTGAAGATATTACCTTTTCAACCACAGCCTTCGAAACGCTCCAAATGTCCACTTGCAGATTCTACAAGAAGATTGTTTCCAGGCGGCTCTTTCAAAAGAAATGTTCAACTATGGGAGTAGAATACACACATCACAAAGTCGTTTCTGAGAATGCTTCTGTCTAGTTTTTATGTGAAGATGTTTCCTTTTCTACCAGAGGCCTGAAAGCGCTCCAAACATCCAATTGCAGATTCTACCAAAAGAGTGTTTCAAAACTTCTCTATCAAAAGTAAGGGTCTGCTTTGTGAGTTGAATGTACACATCAAAATGAAGTTTCTGATTATACTTCTGTCTACTTCTTATGGGAAGATATTTCCTTATCCTCAATGGTCCTCAAAGCCCTCGAAATGCCCACTTGAAGATTCTTCGGAAAGACGGTTTCAAAACTGCTCTATCAAAAGAAAGTTTCAACTTTGTGTGTAGAATGCACACATCACAAAGTCGTTTCTGGGAATGCTTCTGTCTAGTTTTTATATGAAGATATTTCCTTTTCTACCATAAGCCTCAAAGCACTGCACATATGAACTGGCAGATTCTTTAAAAAGAGTGTTTCAAAACTGCTCTATCAAAACTGTTCTATCAACTCTGTGAGATGAATGGACACATCACAAAGATGTTTCTGAGAATGCCTCTGTCTAGGTTTTAGGTGAAGATATTCTCGTTTCCAAAGAATGCTTCAAAGAGTACTTAAATATCCGCCTGCAGATTCTACAAAAGGAGTGTTTCAAAACTGCTCTAACAAAAGAAAGGTTCAACCTGGGAGTTGAATGCACACATCACAAAGAAGTTTCTGAGAATGCTTCTGTCTAGTTTTAATGCGAAGATATTCCCTTTTCCATCATAACCTTCAAAGCGCTCCAAATGTCCATTTGCAGATTTTAGAAACAGAGTGGTTCCAGACTGCTCTATCAAAAGAAATTTTCAACTATGGGAGTAGAATGCACACAACACAAATTCGTTTCTGAGAATGCTTCTGTCTAGTTTTTATGTGAAGATATTTCCTTTTCTACCATAGGCATAAACGTGCTCCAAATATCCACTGGAAGATTCTAAAAAAAGAGTGTTTCAAAACTGCTCTATCAAAAGGAAGGTTCAATTCTGTGAGTTGAATGCACACATCACAAAGTAGTTTCTGAGAATGCTTCTGCCTAATTTTTAATTTTAAGATATTCCCATTTCCAAAGAAGGCTTCAATTTGCTCCAAATATCCACTTGCAGATTGTACAAAAAGAGGGTTTCAAAACTGCTCTATCAAAAGGAAGGTTCAACTCTGTGAGATGAATGCACACATCACAAAGTGGTTTCAGAGAATGCTTGTTTCTAGTTT
The DNA here is from genome assembly GCF_000001405.40 of Homo sapiens. Classification (NCBI taxonomy): domain Eukaryota; kingdom Metazoa; phylum Chordata; class Mammalia; order Primates; family Hominidae; genus Homo; species Homo sapiens. The sequence continues at coordinate 61,523,391 of NC_000007.14, read as the reverse complement.
TCAGGTGACGATATTCCCGTTTCCAAAGTAGCACTCAAAGAGCTCCAAATATCCTCCTGCAGATTGTGCAAAAAGGGTGTTTGAAAACTGCTCTATCAAAAAGAAGCTTCAACTCTGTGAGTTGAATGCACAAATCACAAAGAAGTTTCTGGGAATACTTCTGTCTATTTTTACGTGACGATACTCCCGTTTCCAAAGAAGGCTTCAAAGCACTCCAAATATCCACCTGCAGATTATAAAGGAAGAGTTTTTCAAAACTGCTCAATCCAAAGGAAGGTTCAGCTCCGTGAGTTCAATGCCCACATCACAAAGAAGTTTCTGAGAATGCTTCTGTCTAGTTTCAAGGGGAAGATATTCCCGTTTCCAACGAAGGCTTCAAAGCGCTCCAAATATCCACTTGCAGAGTCTACAAAAAGACTGTTTCAAAACTGCTCTATAAAAGTAAGGTTGTCCTTTGTTAGTGGAATGCACCCATCAAAATGAAGTTTCTGAGAACACTTCTGTCTACTTTTCATGTGAAGATAATTCCTTATCCACAATAGTCCCCAAAGCCCTCAAAATGCCCACTTGAAGATCCCTCAAAAAGACTGTTTCAAAACTGCAGTATCAGAAGGAAATTTCAACTATGTGAGTAGAATGCACACATCACAAAGTAGTTTCTGAGAATGCTTCTGTCTAGTTTTTATATGAAGATATTTCCTTTTCGACCTTAAGCCTCAAAGTGCTGCAATTATGCACTTTCAGATTCTTCAAAAAGAGGGTTTCAAAACTGCTCTGGCAAAAGGAAGTTTCAACGCTGTGAGTTGAATGCACACATCACAAAGAAGTTTCTGAGAATGCTTCTGTCTAATTTTTATGTGAAGATAATCCTGTTTCCCAAGAAGGCTTCAAAGCACCCTAATATCCTCCTCCAGATTCTACAGAAAGAGTGTTTCAAAACTGCTCTATCAAAAGGAAGGTTCAACTCTGTGAGTTGAATGCAGACATCATAAAGGAGTTTCTGAGAATGCTTCCGTCTTGTTTTAATGTGAAGATATTTCCTTTTCAACCGATAGCCTAAAAGAGCTCCAAATGTCCAACTGCAGATTTTTTAAAAAGAATGTTTCAAAACGGCACTATCAAAAGAAAGGTTCAGCTCCGTGAGTTGAATGCACACATCTCAAAGAAGTTTCTGAGAATGCTTCTGTCTAGTTTTTATGTGAAGGTATTCGCGATTCCAATGAAGTCTTCAAAGCGCTCCAAATATCTAAATGCGGATTCTACAAAAAGAGTGATTCAAAACTGGTCTATGAAAAGGAAGGTTCAGCTCTGTGAGTTGAACGCACACATCACAAAAAGTTTCGGACAATGCTTCCATTTAGTTTTTGGGTGAAGATATTACCTTTTCAACCACAGCCTTCCAAACGCTCCAAATGTCCACTTGCAGATTCTACAAGAAGATTGTTTCCAGGCGGCTCTATCAAAAGAAATGTTCAACTATGGGAGTAGAATACACACATCACAAAGTCGTTTCTGAGAATGCTTCTGTCTAGTTTTTATGTGAAGATATTTCCTTTTCTACCAGAGGCCTGAAAGCGCTCCAAACATCCAATTGCAGATTCTACAAAAAGAGTGTTTCAAAACTTCTCTATCAAAAGTAAGGGTCTGCTTTGTGAGTTGAATGTACACATCAAAATGAAGTTTCTGATTATACTTCTGTCTACTTCTTATGGGAAGATATTTCCTTATCCGCAATGGTCCTCAAAGCCCTCGAAATGCCCACTTGAAGATTCTTCGGAAAGACGGTTTCAAAACTGCTCTATCAAAAGAAAGTTTCAACTTTGTGTGTAGAATGCACACATCACAAAGTCGTTTCTGAGAATGCTTCTGTCTAGTTTTTATAGGAAGATATTTCCTTTTCTACCATAAGCCTCAAAGCACTGCACATATGAACTGGCAGATTCTTCAAAAAGAGTGTTTCAAAACTGCTCTATCAAAACTGTTCTATCAACTCTGTGAGTTGAGTGGACACATCACATAGACGTTTCTGAGAATGCTTCTGTCTAGGTTTTAGGTGAAGATGTTCTCGTTTCCAAAGAATGCTTCAAATAGTACTTAAATATCCGCCTGCAGATTCTACAAAAGGAGTGTTTCAAAACTGCTCTAACAAAAGAAAGGTTCAACCTGGGAGTTGAATGCACACATCACAAAGAAGTTTCTGAGAGTGCTTCTGTCTAGTTTTAATGCGAAGATATTCCCTCCTCCACCATAACCTTCAAAGCGCTCCAAATGTCCATTTGCAGATATTACAAACAGAGTGTTTCCAGACTGCTCTACCAAAAGAAATTTTCAACTATGGGAGTAGAATGCACACATCAGAAATTCGTTTGCTGAGAATGCTTCTGTCTAGTTTTTATGTGAAGATATTTCCTTTTCTACCACAGGCATAAATGTGCTCCAAATATCCACTTGCAGATTCTAAACAAAGAGTGTTTCAAAACTGCTGTATCAAAAGGAAGGTTCAATTCTGTGAGTTGAATGCACACATCACAAAGAAGTTTCTGAGAATGCTTCTGCCTAATTTTTAGTTTTAAGATATTCCCATTTCCAAAGAAGGCTTCAATTTGCTCCAAATATCCACTTGCAGATTGTACAAAAAGAGGGTTTCAAAACTGCTCTACCAACAGGAAGGTTCAACTCTGTGAGATGAATGCACACATCACAAAGTGGTTTCAGAGAATGCTTCTTTCTAGTTTTTAGGTGACGATATTCCCGTTTCCAATGTAGCACTCAAAGAGCTCCAAATATCCTCCTGCAGATTGTGCAAAAAGGGTGTTTCAAAACTGCTCTATCAAAAAGAAGCTTCAACTCTGTGAGTTGAATGCACAAATCACAAAGAAGTTTCTGGGAATACTTCTGTCTATTTTTATGTGATGATACTCCCGTTTCCAAAGAAGGCTTCAAAGCACTCCAAATATCCACCTGCAGATTATAAAGGAAGAGTTTTTCAAAACTGCTCAATCCAAAGGAAGGTTCAGCTCCGTGAGTTCAATGCCCACATCACAAAGAAGTTTCTGAGAATGCTTCTGTCTGGTTTCAAGGGGAAGATATTCCCGTTTCCAACGAAGGCTTCAAAGCGCTCCAAATATCCACTTGCAGAGTCTACAAAAAGACTGTTTCAAAACTGCTCTATAAAAGTAAGGTTGTACTTTGTTAGTGGAATGCACCCATCAAAATGAAGTTTCTGAGAACACTTCTGTCTACTTTTCATGTGAAGATATTTCCTTATCCACAATAGTCCCCAAAGCCCTCAAAATGCCCACCCGAAGATTCCTCAAAAAGACGGTTTCAAAACTGCAGTATCAGAAGGAAATTTCAACTATGTGAGTAGAATGCACACATCACAAAGTAGTTTCTGAGAATGCTTCTGTCTAGTTTTTATATGAAGATATTTCCTTTTCTACCTTAAGCCTCAAAGTGCTGCAATTATGCACTTTCAGATTCTTCAAAAAGAGGGTTTCAAAACTGCTCTAGCAAAAGGAAGTTTCAACGCTGTGAGTTGAATACACACATCACAAAGAAGTTTCTGAGAATGCTTCTGTCTAATTTTTATGTGAAGATAATCCTGTTTCCCAAGAAGGCTTCAAAGCACCCTAATATCCTCCTCTAGATTCTACAGAAAGAGTGTTTCAAAACTGCTCTATCAAAAGGAAGGTTCAACTCTGTGAGTTGAATGCAGACATCATAAAGGAGTTTCTGAGAATGCTTCTGTCTTGTTTTAATGTGAAGATATTTCCTTTTCAACCGATAGCCTAAAAGAGCTCCAAATGTCCAACTGCAGATTTTTTAAAAAGAATGTTTCAAAACTGCACTATCAAAACAAAGGTTCAGCTCTGTGAGTTGAATGCACACATCTCAAAGAAGTTTCTGAGAATGGTTCTGTCTAGTTTTTATGTGAAGGTATTCGCGATTCCAATGAAGTCTTCAAAGCGCTCCAAATATCTAAATGCGGATTCTACAAAAAGAGTGATTCAAAACTGGTCTATGAAAAGGAAGGTTCAGCTCTGTGAGTTGAACGCACACATCACAAAAAGTTTCGGACAATGCTTCCATTTAGTTTTTAGGTGAAGATATTACCTTTTCAACCACAGCCTTCAAAACGCTCCAAATGTCCACTTGCAGATTCTACAAGAAGATTGTTTCCAGGCGGCTCTATCAAAAGAAATGTTCAACTATGGGAGTAGAATACACACATCACAAAGTCGTTTCTGAGAATGCTTCTGTCTAGTTTTTATGTGAAGATATTTCCTTTTCTACCAGAGGCCTGAAAGCGCTCCAAACATCCAATTGCAGATTCTACCAAAAGAGTGTTTCAAAACTTCTCTATCAAAAGTAAGGGTCTGCATTGTGAGTTGAATGTACACATCAAAATGAAGTTTCTGATTATACTTCTGTCTACTTCTTATGGGAAGATATTTCCTTATCCGCAATGGTCCTCAAAGCCCTCGAAATGCCCACTTGAAGATTCTTCGGAAAGACGGTTTCAAAACTGCTCTATCAAAAGAAAGTTTCAACTTTGTGTGTAGAATGCACACATCACAAAGTCGTTTCTGAGAATGCTTCTGTCTAGTTTTTATAGGAAGATATTTCCTTTTCTACCATAAGCCTGAAAGCACTGCACATATGAACTGGCAGATTCTTTAAAAAGAGTGTTTCAAAACTGCTCTATCAAAACTGTTCTATCAACTCTGTGAGATGAATGGACACATCACAAAGATGTTTCTGAGAATGCTTCTGTCTAGGTTTTAGGTGAAGATATTCTCGTTTCCAAAGAATGCTTCAAATAGTACTTAAATATCCGCCTGCAGATTCTACAAAAGGAGTGTTTCAAAACTGCTCTAACAAAAGAAAGGTTCAACCTGGGAGTTGAATGCACACATCACAAAGAAGTTTCTGAGAATGCTTCTGTCTAGTTTTAATGCGAAGATATTCCCTTCTCCACCATAACCTTCAAAGCGCTCCAAATGTCCATTTGCAGATTTTACAAACAGAGTGTTTCCAGACTGCTCTATCAAAAGAAATTTTCAACTATGGGAGTAGAATGCACACATCACAAATGCGTTTCTGAGAATGCTTCTGTCTACTTTTTATGTGAAGATATTTCCTTTTCTACCATAGGCATAAACGTGCTCCAAATATCCACTGGCAGATTCTAAAAAAAGAGTGTTTCAAAACTGCTCTATCAAAAGGAAGGTTCAATTCTGTGAGTTGAATGCACACATCACAAATTAGTTTCTGAGAATGCTTCTGCCTAATTTTTAGATTTAAGATATTCCCATTTCCAAAGAAGGCTTCAATTTGCTCCAAATATCCACTTGCAGATTGTACAAAAAGAGGGTTTCAAAACTGCTCTATCAAAAGGAAGGTTCAACTCTGTGAGATGAATCCACACATCACAAAGTGGTTTCAGAGAATGCTTCTTTCTAGTTTTTAGGTGACGATATTCCCGTTTCCAATGTAGCACTCAAAGAGCTCCAAATATCCTCCTGCAGATTGTGCAAAAAGGGTGTTTCAAAACTGCTCTATCAAAAAGAAGCTTCAACTCTGTGAGTTGAATGCACAAATCACAAAGAAGTTTCTGGGAATACTTCTGTCTATTTTTATGTGACGATACTCCCGTTTCCAAAGAAGGCTTCAAAGCACTCCAAATATCCACCTGCAGATTATAAAGGAAGAGTTTTTCTAAACTGCTCAATCCAAAGGAAGGTTCAGCTCCGTGAGTTCAATGCCCACATCACAAAGAAGTTTCTGAGAATGCTTCTGTCTAGTTTCAAGGGGAAGATATTCCCGTTTCCAACGAAGGCTTCAAAGCGCTCCAAATATCCACTTGCAGAGTCTACAAAAAGACCGTTTCAAAACTGCTCTATAAAAGTAAGGTTGTACTTCGTTAATTGAATGCACCCATCAAAATGAAGTTTCTGAGAACACTTCTGTCTACTTTTCATGTGAAGATATTTCCTTATCCACAATAGTCCCCAAAGCCCTCAAAATGCCCACTGGAAGATTCCTCAAAAGGACGGTTTCAATACTGCAGTATCAGAAGGAAATTTCAACTATGTGAGTAGAATGCACACATCACAAAGTAGTTTCTGAGAATGCTTCTGTCTAGTTTTTATATGAAGTATATTTCCTTTTCTACCTTAAGCCTCAAAGTGCTGCAATTATGCACTTTCAGATTCTTCAAAAAGAGGGTTTCAAAACTGCTCTAGCAAAAGGAAGTTTCAACGCTGTGAGTTGAATGCACACATCACAAAGAAGTTTCTGAGAATGCTTCTGTCTAATTTTTATGTGAAGATAATCCTGTTTCCCAAGAAGGCTTCAAAGCACCCTAATATCCGCCTCCAGATTCTACAGAAAGAGTGTTTCAAAACTGCTCTATGAAAAGGAAGGTTCAACTCTGTGAGTTGAATGCAGACATCATAAAGGAGTTTCTGAGAATGCTTCTGTCTTGTTTTAATGTGAAGATATTTCCTTTTCAACCGATAGCCTAAAAGAGCTCCAAATGTCCAACTGCAGATTTTTTAAAAAGAATGTTTGAAAACTGCACTATCAAAAGAAAGGTTCAGCTCTGTGAGTTGAATGCACACATCTCAAAGAAGTTTCTGAGAATGGTTCTGTCTAGTTTTTATGTGAAGGTATTCGCGATTCCAATGAAGTCTTCAAAGCGCTCCAAATATCTAAATGCGTATTCTACAAAAAGAGTGATTCAAAACTGGTCTATGAAAAGGAAGGTTCAGCTCTGTGAGTTGAACGCACACATCACAAAACGTTTCGGACAATGCTTCCATTTAGTTTTTAGGTGAAGATATTACCTTTTCAACCACAGCCTTCAAAACGCTCCAAATGTCCACTTACAGATTCTACAAGAAGATTGTTTCCAGGCGGCTCTATCAAAAGAAATGTTCAACTATGGGAGTAGAATACACACATCACAAAGTCGTTTCTGAGAATGCTTCTGTCTAGTTTTTATGTGAAGGTATTTCCTTTTCTACCAGAGGCCTGAAAGCGCTCCAAACATCCAATTGCAGATTCTACAAAAAGAGTGTTTCAAAACTTCTCTATCAAAAGTAAGGGTCTGCTTTGTGAGTTGAATGTACACATCAAAATGAAGTTTCTGATTATAGTTCTGTCTACTTCTTATGGGAAGATATTTCCTTATCCGCAATGGTCCTCAAAGCCCTCGAAATGCCCACTTGAAGATTCTTCGGAAAGACTGTTTCAAAACTGCTCTATCAAAAGAAAGTTTCAACTTTGTGTGTAGAATGCACACATCACAAAGTCGTTTCTGAGAATGCTTCTGTCTAGTTTTTATATGAAGATATTTCCTTTTCTACCATAAGCCTCAAAGCACTGCACATATGAACTGGCAGATTCTTTAAAAAGAGTGTTTCATAACTGCTCTATCTAAACTGTTCTATCAACTCTGTGAGATGAATGGACACATCACAAAGATGTTTCTGAGAATGCTTCTGTCTAGGTTTTAGGTGAAGATATTCTCGTTTCCAAAGAATGCTTCAAAGAGTACTTAAATATCCGCCTGCAGATTCTACAAAAGGAGTGTTTCAAAACTGCTCTAACAAAAGAAAGGTTCAACCTGGGAGTTGAATGCACACATCACAAAGAAGTTTCTGAGAATGCTTCTGTCTAGTTTTAATGCGAAGATATTCCCTTTTCCATCATAACCTTCAAAGCGCTCCAAATGTCCATTTGCAGATTTTAGAAACAGAGTGTTTCCAGACTGCTCTATCAAAAGAAATTTTCCACTATGGGAGTAGAATGCAGACAACACAAATTCGTTTCTGAGAATGCTTCTGTCTAGTTTTTATGTGAAGATATTTCCTTTTCTACCATAGGCATAAACGTGCTCCAAATATCCACTGGCAGATTCTAAAAAAAGAGTGTTTCAAAACTGCTCTATCAAAAGGAAGGTTCAATTCTGTGAGTTGAATGCACACATCACAAAGTAGTTTCTGAGAATGCTTCTGCCTAATTTTTAATTTTAAGATATTCCCATTTCCTAAGAAGGCTTCAATTTGCTCCAAATATCCACTTGCAGATTGTACAAAAAGAGGGTTTCAAAACTGCTCTATCAAAAGGAAGGTTCAACTCTGTGAGATGAATGCACACATCACAAAGTGGTTTCAGAGAATGCTTCTTTCTAGTTTTTCGGTGACGATATTCCCGTTTCCAATGTAGCATTCAAAGAGCTCCAAATATCCTCCTGCAGATTGTGCAAAAAGGGTGTTTCAAAACTGCTCTATCAAAAAGAAGCTTCAACTCTGTGAGTTGAATGCACAAATCACAAAGAAGTCTCTGAGAATACTTCTGTCTATTTTTATGTGACGATACTCCCGTTTCCAAAGAAGGCTTCAAAGCACTCCAAATATCCACCTGCAGATTATAAAGGAAGAGTTTTTCAAAACTGCTCAATCCAAAGGAAGGTTCAGCTCCGTGAGTTCAATGCCCACATCACAAAGAAGTTTCTGAGAATGCTTCTGTCTAGTTTCAAGGGGAAGATATTCCCGTTTCCAACGAAGGCTTCAAAGCGCTCCAAATATCCACTTGCAGAGTCTACAAAAAGACTGTTTCAAAACTGCTCTATAAAAGTAAGGTTGTACCTTGTTAGTTGAATGCACCCATCAAAATGACGTTTCTGAGAACACTTCTGTCTACTTTTCATGTGAAGATATTTCCTTATCCACAATAGTCCCCAAAGCCCTCAAAATGCCCACTGGAAGATTCCTCAAAAAGACGGTTTCAAAACTGCAGTATCAGAAGGAAATTTCAACTATGTGAGTAGAATGCACACATCACAAAGTAGTTTCTGAGAATGCTTCTGTCTAGTTTTTATATGAAGATATTTCCTTTTCTACCTTAAGCCTCAAAGTGCTGCAATTACGCACTTTCAGATTCTTCAAAAAGAGGGTTTCAAAACTGCTCTAGCAAAAGGAAGTTTCAACGCTGTGAGTTGAATGCACACATCACAAAGAAGTTTCTGAGAATGCTTCTGTCTAATTTTTATGTGAAGATAATCCTGTTTCCCAAGAAGGCTTCAAAGCACCCTAATATCCGCCTCCAGATTCTACAGAAAGAGTGTTTCAAAACTGCTCTATGAAAAGGAAGGTTCAACTCTGTGAGTTGTATGCAGACATCATAAAGGAGTTTCTGAGAATGCTTCTGTCTTGTTTTAATGTGAAGATACTTCCTTTTCAACCGATAGCCTAAAAGAGCTCCAAATGTCCAACTGCAGATATTTTAAAAAGAATGTTTCAAAACTGCACTATCAAAAGAAAGGTTCAGCTCTGTGAGTTGAATGCACACATCACAAAGAAGTTTCTGAGAATGGTTTCTGTCTAGTTTTTATGTGAAGGTATTCGCGATTCCAATGAAGTCTTCAAAGTGCTCCAAATATCTAAATGCGGATTCTACAAAAAGAGTGATTCAAAACTGGTCTAAGGAAAGGAAGGTTCAGCTCTGTGAGTTGAACGCACACATCACAAAAAGTTTCGGACAATGCTTCCATTTAGTTTTTAGGTGAAGATGTTACCTTTTCAACCACAGCCTTCAAGACGCTCCAAATGTCCACTTGCAGATTCTACAAGAAGATTGTTTCCTGGCTGCTCTATCAAAAGAAATGTTCAACTATGCGAGTAGAATACACACATCACAAAGTCGTTTCTGAGAATGCTTCTGTCTAGTTTTTATGTGAAGATATTTCCTTTTCTACCAGAGGCCTGAAAGCACTCCAAATATCCAATTGCAGATTCTACAAAAAGAGTGTTTCAAAACTTCTCTATCAAAAGTAAGGGTCTACTTTGTGAGTTGAATGTACACATCAAAATGAAGTTTCTGATTATACTTCTGTCTACTTCTTATGGGAAGATATTTCCTTATCCGCAATGGTCCTCAAAGCCCTCGAAATGCCCACTTGAAGATTCTTCGGAAAGACTGTTTCAAAACTGCTCTATCAAAAGAAAGTTTCAACTTTGTGTGTAGAATGCACACATCACAAAGTCGTTTCTGAGAATGCTTCTGTCTAGTTTTTATATGAAGATATTTCCTTTTCTACCATAAGCCTCAAAGCACTGCACATATGAACTGGCAGATCCTTTAAAAAGAGTGTATCAAAACTGCTCTATCAAAACTGTTCTATCAACTCTGTGAGATGAATGGACACATCACAAAGATGTTTCTGAGAATGCTTCTGTCTAGGTTTTAGGTGAAGATATTCTCGTTTCCAAAGAATGCTTCAAAGAGTACTTAAATATCCGCCTGCAGATTCTACAAAAGGAGTGTTTCAAAACTGCTCTAACAAAAGAAAGTTTCAACCTGGGAGTTGAATGCACACATCAGAAAGAAGTTTCTGAGAATGCTTCTGTCTAGTTTTAATGCGAAGATATTCCCTTTTCCATCATAACCTTCAAAGCGCTCCAAATGTCCATTTGCAGATTTTAGAAACAGAGTGTTTCCAGACTGCTCTATCAAAAGAAATTTTCAACTATGGGAGTAGAATGCACACAACACAAATTCGTTTCTGAGAATGCTTCTGTCTAGTTTTTATGTGAAGATATTTCCTTTTCTACCACAGGCATAAATGTGCTCCAAATATCCACTTGCAGATTCTAAACAAAGAGTGTTTCAAAACTGCTGTATCAAAAGGAAGGTTCAATTCTGTGAGTTGAACGCACACATCACAAAGCAGTTTCTGAGAATGCTTCTGCTTAATTTTTAGTTTTAAGATATTCCCATTTCCAAAGAAGGCTTCAATTTGCTCCAAATATCCACTTGCAGATTGTACAAAAAGAGGGTTTCAAAACTGCTCTATCAAAAGGAAGGTTCAACTCTGTGAGATGAATGCACACATCACAAAGTGGTTTCAGAGAATGCTTCTTTCTAGTTTTTAGGTGACGATATTCCCGTTTCCAATGTAGCATTCAAAGAGCTCCAAATATCCTCCTGCAGATTGTGCAAAAAGGGTGTTTCAAAACTGCTCTATCAAAAAGAAGCTTCAACTCTGTGAGTTGAATGCACATATCACAAAGAAGTCTCTGAGAATACTTCTGTCTATTTTTATGTGACGATACTCCCGTTTCCAAAGAAGGCTTCAAAGCACTCCAAATATCCACCTGCAGATTATAAAGGAAGAGTTTTTCAAAACTGCTCAATCCAAAGGAAGGTTCAGCTCCGTGAGTTCAATGCCCACATCACAAAGAAGTTTCTGAGAATGCTTCTGTCTGGTTTCAAGGGGAAGATATTCCCGTTTCCAACGAAGGCTTCAAAGCGCTCCAACTATCCACTTGCAGACTCTACAAAAAGACTGTTTCAAAACTGCTCTATAAAAGTAAGGTTGTACTTTGTTAGTGGAATGCACCCATCAAAATGAAGTTTCTGAGAACACTTCTGTCTACTTTTCATGTGAAGATATTTCCTTATCCACAATAGTCCCCAAAGCCCTCAAAATGCCCACTTGAAGATCCCTCAAAAAGACTGTTTCAAAACTGCAGTATCAGAAGGAAATTTCAACTATGTGAGTAGAATGCACACATCACAAAGTAGTTTCTGAGAATGCTTCTGTCTAGTTTTTATATGAAGTATATTTCCTTTTCTACCTTAAGCCTCAAAGTGCTGCAATTATGCACTTTCAGATTCTTCAAAAAGAGGGTTTCAAAACTGCTCTAGCAAAAGGAAGTTTCAACGCTGTGAGTTGAATGCACACATCACAAAGAAGTTTCTGAGAATGCTTCTGTCTAATTTTTATGTGAAGATAATCCTGTTTCCCAAGAAGGCTTCAAAGCACCCTAATATCCGCCTCCAGATTCTACAGAAAGAGTGTTTCAAAACTGCTCTATCAAAAGGAAGGTTCAACTCTGTGAGTTGAATGCAGACATCATAAAGGAGTTTCTGAGAATGCTTCTGTCTTGTTTTAATGTGAAGATATTTCCTTTTCAACCGATAGCCTAAAAGAGCTCCAAATGTCCAACTGCAGATTTTTTAAGAAGAATGTTTCAAAACTGCACTATCAAAAGAAAGGTTCAGCTCTGTGAGTTGAATGCACACATCTCAAAGAAGTTTCTGAGAATGGTTCTGTCTAGTTTTTATGTGAAGGTATTCGTGATTCCAATGAAGTCTTCAAAGCGCTCCAAATATCTAAATGCGGATTCTACAAAAAGAGTGATTCAAAACTGGTCTATGAAAAGGAAGGTTCAGCTCTGTGAGTTGAACGCACACATCACAAAAAGTTTCGGACAATGCTTCCATTTAGTTTTTGGGTGAAGATATTACCTTTTCAACCACAGCCTTCGAAACGCTCCAAATGTCCACTTGCAGATTCTACAAGAAGATTGTTTCCAGGCGGCTCTATCAAAAGAAATGTTCAACTATGGGAGTAGAATACACACATCACAAAGTCGTTTCTGAGAATGCTTCTGTCTAGTTTTTATGTGAAGATATTTCCTTTTCTACCAGAAGCCTGAAAGCGCTCCAAATATCCAATTGCAGATTCTACAAAAAGAGTGTTTCAAAACTTCTCTATCAAAAGTAAGGGTCTGCTTTGTGAGTTGAATGTACACATCAAAATGAAGTTTCTGATTATACTTCTGTCTACTTCTTATGTGAAGATATTCCCTTATCCGCAATGGTCCTCAAAGCCCTCGAAATGCCCACTTGAAGGTTCTTCGGAAAGACTGTTTCAAAACTGCTCTATCAAAAGAAAGTTTCCACTTTGTGTGTAGAATGCACACATCACAAAGTCGTTTCTGAGAATGCTTCTGTCTAGTTTTTATAGGAAGATATTTCCTTTTCTACCATAAGCCTCAAAGCACTGCACATATGAACTGGCAGATTCTTCAAAAAGAGTGTTTCAAAACTGCTCTATCAGAACTGTTCTATCAACTCTGTGAGTTGAGTGGACACATCACAAAGACGTTTCTGAGAATGCTTCTGTCTAGGTTTTAGGTGAAGATATTCTCATTTCCAAAGAATGCTTCAAATAGTAATTAAATATCCGCCTGCAGATTCTACAAAAGGAGTGTTTCAAAACTGCTCTAACAAAAGAAAGGTTCAACCTGGGAGTTGAATGCACACATCACAAACAACTTTCTGAGAATGCTTCTGTCTAGTTTTAATGCGAAGATATTCCCTCTTCCACCATAACCTTCAAAGCGCTCCAAATGTCCATTTGCAGATTTTACAAACAGAGTGTTTCCAGACTGCTCTACCAAAAGGAATTTTCAACTATGGGAGTAGAATGCCCACATCACAAATTCGTTTCTGAGAATGCTTCTGTCTAGTTTTTATGTGAAGATATTTCCTTTTCTACCGTAGGCATACATGTGCTCCAAATATCCGCTTGCAGATTCTAAAAAAAGAGTGTTTCAAAACTGCTCCATCAAAAGGAAGGTTCAATTCTGTGAGTTGAATGCACACATCAAAAGTAGTTTCTGACAATGCTTCTGCCTAATTTTTAATTTTAAGATATTCCCATTTCCAAAGAAGGCTTCAATTTGCTCCAAATATCCACTTGCAGATGGTACAAAAAGAGGGTTTCAAAACTGCTCTATCAAAAGGAAGGTTCAACTCTGTGAGATGAATGCACACATCCAAAGTGGTTTCAGAGAATGCTTGTTTCTAGTTTTCAGGTGATGATATTCCCGTTTCCAATGTAGCACTCAAAGAGCTCCAAATATCCTCCTGCAGATTGTGCAAAAAGGGTGTTTCAAAACTGCTCTATCAAAAAGAAGCTTCAACTCTGTGAGTTGAATGCACAAATCACAAAGAAGTTTCTGGGAATACTTCTGTCTATTTTTATGTGACGATACTCCCGTTTCCAAAGAAGGCTTCAAAGCACTCCAAATATCCACCTGCAGATTATAAAGGAAGAGTTTTTCAAAACTGCTCAATCCAAAGGAAGGTTCAGCTCCGTGAGTTCAATGCCCACATCACAAAGAAGTTTCTGAGAATGCTTCTGTCTGGTTTCAAGGGGAAGATATTCCCGTTTCCAACGAAGGCTTCAAAGCGCTCCAAATATCCACTTGCAGAGTCTACAAAAAGACTGTTTCAAAACTGCTCTATAAAAGTAAGGTTTTACTTTGTTAGTGGAATGCACCCATCAAAATTAAGTTTCTGAGAACACTTCTGTCTACTTTTCATGTGAAGATATTTCCTTATCCACAATAGTCCCCAAAGCCCTCAAAATGCCCACTTGAAGATCCCTCAAAAAGACTGTTTCAAAACTGCAGTATCAGAAGGAAATTTCAACTATGTGAGTAGAATGCACACATCACAAAGTAGTTTCTGAGAATGCTTCTGTCTAGTTTTTATATGAAGATATTTCCTTTTCGACCTTAAGCCTCAAAGTGCTGCAATTATGCACTTTCAGATTCTTCAAAAAGAGGGTTTCAAAACTGCTCTGGCAAAAGGAAGTTTCAACGCTGTGAGTTGAATGCACACATCACAAAGAAGTTTCTGAGAATGCTTCTGTCTAATTTTTATGTGAAGATAATCCTGTTTCCCCAGAAGGCTTCAAAGCACCCTAATATCCGCCTCCAGATTCTACAGAAAGAGTGTTTCAAAACTGCTCTATCAAAAGGAAGGTTCAACTCTGTGAGTTGAAAGCAGACATCATAAAGGAGTTTCTGAGAATGCTTCTGTCTTGTTTTAATGTGAAGATACTTCCTTTTCAACCGATAGCCTAAAAGAGCTCCAAATGTCCAACTGCAGATTTTTTAAAAAGAATGTTTCAAAACTGCACTATCAAAAGAAAGGTTCAGCTCTGTGAGTTGAATGCACACATCTCAAAGGAGTTTCTGAGAATGGTTCTGTCTAGTTTTTATGTGAAGATATTCGCGATTCCAATGAAGTCTTCAAAGCGCTCCAAATATCTAAATGCGGATTCTACAAAAAGAGTGATTCAAAACTGGTCTATGAAAAGGAAGGTTCAGCTCTGTGAGTTGAACGCACACATCACAAAAAGTTTCGGAGAATGCTTCCATTTAGTTTTTGGGTGAAGATATTACCTTTTCAACCACAGCCTTCCAAACGCTCCAAATGTCCACTTGCAGATTCTACAAGAAGATTGTTTCCAGGCGGCTCTATCAAAAGAAATGTTCAACTATGGGAGTAGAATACACACATCACAAAGTCGTTTCTGAGAATGCTTCTGTCTAGTTTTTATGTGAAGATATTTCCTTTTCTACCAGAGGCCTGAAAGCGCTCCAAACATCCAATTGCAGATTCTACAAAAAGAGTGTTTCAAAACTTCTCTATCAAAAGTTAGGGTCTGCTTTGTGAGTTGAATGTACACATCAAAATGAAGTTTCTGATTATACTTCTGTCTACTTCTTATGGGAAGATATTTCTTATCCGCAATGGTCCTCAAAGCCCTCGAAATGCCCACTTGAAGATTCTTCGGAAAGACGGTTTAAAAACTGCTCTATCAAAAGAAAGTTTCAACTTTGTGTGTAGAATGCACACATCACAATGTCGTTTCTGAGAATGCTTCTGTCTAGTTTTTATATGAAGATATTTCCTTTTCTACCATAAGCCTCAAAGCACTGCACATATGAACAGGCAGATCCTTTAAAAAGAGTGTATCAAAACTGCTCTATCAAAACTGTTCTATCAACTCTGTGAGATGAATGGACACATCACAAAGATGTTTCTGAGAATGCTTCTGTCTAGGTTTTAGGTGAAGATGTTCTCGTTTCCAAAGAATGCTTCAAATAGTACTTAAATATCCGCCTGCAGATTCTACAAAAGGAGTGTTTCAAAACTGCTCTAACAAAAGAAAGGTTCAACCTGGGAGTTGAATGCACACATCACAAAGAAGTTTCTGAGAGTGCTTCTGTCTAGTTTTAATGCGAAGATATTCCCTTTTCCATCATAACCTTCAAAGCGCTCCAAATGTCCATTTGCAGATTTTAGAAACAGAGTGTTTCCAGACTGCTCTATCAAAAGAAATTTTCAACTATGGGAGTAGAATGCACACAACACAAATTCGTTTCTGAGAATGCTTCTGTCTAGTTTTTATGTGAAGATATTTCCTTTTCTACCACAGGCATAAATGTGCTCCAAATATCCACTTGCAGATTCTAAACAAAGAGTGTTTCAAAACTGCTGTATCAAAAGGAAGGTTCAATTCGGTGAGTTGAATGCACACATCACAAAGTGGTTTCTGAGAATGCTTCTGCCTAATTTTTAGATTTAAGATATTCCCATTTCCAAAGAAGGCTTCAATTTGCTCCAAATATCCACTTGCAGATTGTACAAAAAGAGGGTATCAAAACTGCTCTATCAAAAGGAAGGTTCAACTCTGTGAGATGAATGCACACATCACAAAGTGGTTTCAGAGAATGCTTCTTTCTAGTTTTCAGGTGACGATATTCCCGTTTCCAATGTAGCACTCAAAGAGCTCCAAATATCCTCCTGCAGATTGTGCAAAAAGGGTGTTTCAAAACTGCTCTATCAAAAAGAAGCTTCAACTCTGTGAGTTGAATGCACAAATCACAAAGAAGTTTCTGGGAATACTTCTGTCTATTTTTATGTGACGATACTCCCGTTTCCAAAGAAAGGCTTCAAAGCACTCCAAATATCCACCTGCAGATTATAAAGGAAGAGTTTTTCAAAACTGCTCAATCCAAAGGAAGGTTCAGCTCCGTGAGTTCAATGCCCACATCACAAAGAAGTTTCTGAGAATGCTTCTGTCTAGTTTCAAGGGGAAGATATTCCCGTTTCCAACGAAGGCTTCAAAGCGCTCCAAATATCCACTTGCAGAGTCTACAAAAAGACTGTTTCAAAACTGCTCTATAAAAGTAAGGTTGTACCTTGTTAGTTGAATGCACCCATCAAAATGAAGTTTCTGAGAACACTTCTGTCTACTTTTCATGTGAAGATATTTCCTTATCCACAATAGTCCCCAAAGCCCTCAAAATGCCCACTTGCAGATCCCTCAAAAAGACGGTTTCAAAACTGCAGTATCAGTAGGAAATTTCAACTATGTGAGTAGAATGCACACATCACAAAGTAGTTTCTGAGAATGCTTCTGTCTAGTTTTTATATGAAGATATTTCCTTTTCTACCTTAAGCCTCAAAGTGCTGCAATTATGCACTTTCAGATTCTTCAAAAAGAGGGTTTCAAAACTGCTCTAGCAAAAGGAAGTTTCAACGCTATGAGTTGAATGCACACATCACAAAGAAGTTTCTGAGAATGCTTCTGTCTAATTTTTATGTGAAGATAATCCTGTTTCCCAAGAAGGCTTCAAAGCACCCTAATATCCGCCTCCAGATTCTACAGAAAGAGTGTTTCAAAACTGCTCTATCAAAAGGAAGGTTCAACTCTGTGAGTTGAATGCAGACATCATAAAGGAGTTTCTGAGAATGCTTCTGTCTTGTTTTAATGTGAAGATACTTCCTTTTCAACCGATAGCCTAAAAGAGCTCCAAATGTCCAACTGCAGATTTTTTAAAAAGAATGTTTCAAAACTGCACTATCAAAAGAAAGGTTCAGCTCTGTGAGTTGAATGCACACATCTCAAAGAAGTTTCTGAGAATGGTTCTGTCTAGTTTTTATGTGAAGGTATTCGCGATTCCAATGAAGTCTTCAAAGCGCTCCAAATATCTAAATGCGGATTCTACAAAAAGAGTGATTCAAAACTGGTCTATGAAAAGGAAGGTTCAGCTCTGTGAGTTGAACGTACACATCCCAAAAAGTTTCGGAGAATGCTTCCATTTAGTTTTTAGGTGAAGATGTTACCTTTTCAACCACAGCCTTCAAGACGCTCCAAATGTCCACTTGCAGATTCTACAAGAAGATTGTTTCCAGGCTGCTCTATCAAAAGAAATGTTCAACTATGCGAGTAGAATACACACATCACAAAGTCGTTTCTGAGAATGCTTCTGTCTAGTTTTTATGTGAAGATATTTCCTTTTCTACCAGAGGCCTGAAAGCGCTCCAAATATCCAATTGCAGATTCTACAAAAAGAGTGTTTCAAAACTTCTCTATCAAAAGTAAGGGTCTGCTTTGTGAGTTGAATGTACACATCAAAATGAAGTTTCTGATTATACTTCTGTCTACTGCTTATGTGAAGATATTTCCTTATCCGCAATGGTCCTCAAAGCCCTCGAAATGCCCACTTGAAGATTCTTCGGAAAGACTGTTTCAAAACTGCTCTATCAAAAGAAAGTTTCAACTTTGTGTGTAGAATGCACACATCACAAAGTCGTTTCTGAGAATGCTTCTGTCTAGTTTTTATAGGAAGATATTTCCTTTTCTACCGTAAGCCTCAAAGCACGGCAAATATGAACTGGCAGATTCTTCAAAAAGAGTGTTTCAGAAATGCTCTATCAAAACTGTTCTATCAACCCTGTGAGTTGAATGGACACATCACAAAGACGTTTCTGAGAATGCTTCTGTCTAGGTTTTAGGTGAAGATATTCTCGTTTCCAAAGAATGCTTCAAAGAGTACTTAAATATCCGCCTGCAGATTCTACAAAAGGAGTGTTTCAAAACTGCACTAACAAAAGAAAGGTTCAACCTGGGAGTTGAATGCACACATCACAAAGAAGTTTCTGAGAATGGTTCTGTCTAGTTTTAATGCGAAGATATTCCCTTTTCCATCATAACCTTCAAAGCGCTCCAAATGTCCATTTGCAGATTTTAGAAACAGAGTGTTTCCAGACTGCTCTATCAAAAGAAATTTTCAACTATGGGAGTAGAATGCACACAACACAAATTCGTTTCTGAGAATGCTTCTGTCTAGTTTTTATGTGAAGATATTTCCTTTTCTACCATAGGCATAAACGTGCTCCAAATATCCACTGGCAGATTCTAAAAAAAGAGTGTTTCAAAACTGCTCTATCAAAAGGAAGGTTCAATTCTGTGAGTTGAATGCACACATCACAAAGTAGTTTCTGAGAATGCTTTCTGCCTAATTTTTAATTTTAAGATATTCCCATTTCCAAAGAAGGCTTCAATTTGCTCCAAATATCCACTTGCAGATGGTACAAAAAGAGGGTTTCAAAACTGCTCTATCAAAAGGAAGGTTCAACTCTGTGAGATGAATGCACACATCACAAAGTGGTTTCAGAGAATGCTTCTTTCTAGTTTTTAGGTGACGATATTCCCGTTTCCAATGTAGCATTCAAAGAGCTCCAAATATCCTCCTGCAGATTGTGCAAAAAGGGTGTTTCAAAACTGCTCTATCAAAAAGAAGCTTCAACTCTGTGAGTTGAATGCACAAATCACAAAGAAGTCTCTGAGAATACTTCTGTCTATTTTTATGTGACGATACTCCCGTTTCCAAAGAAGGCTTCAAAGCACTCCAAATATCCACCTGCAGATTATAAAGGAAGAGTTTTTCAAAACTGCTCAATCCAAAGGAAGGTTCAGCTCCGTGAGTTCAATGCCCACATCACAAAGAAGTTTCTGAGAATGCTTCTGTCTGGTTTCAAGGGGAAGATATTCCCGTTTCCAACGAAGGCTTCAAAGCGCTCCAAATATCCACTTGCAGAGTCTACAAAAAGACTGTTTCAAAACTGCTCTATAAAAGTAAGGTTGTACTTTGTTAGTGGAATGCACCCATCAAAATGAAGTTTCTGAGAACACTTCTGTCTACTTTTCATGTGAAGATATTTCCTTATCCACAATAGTCCCCAAAGCCCTCAAAATGCCCACTGGAAGATTCCTCAAAAAGACGGTTTCAAAACTGCAGTATAAGAAGGAAATTTCAACTATGTGAGTAGAATGCACACATCACAAAGTAGTTTCTGAGAATGCTTCTGTCTAGTTTTTATATGAAGATATTTCCTTTTCTACCTTAAGCCTCAAAGTGCTGCAATTATGCACTTTCAGATTCTTCAAAAAGAGGGTTTCAAAACTGCTCTAGCAAAAGGAAGTTTCAACGCTGTGAGTTGAATGCACACATCACAAAGGAGTTTCTGAGAATGCTTCTGTCTAATTTTTATGTGAAGATAATCCTGTTTCCCAAGAAGGCTTCAAAGCACCCTAATATCCGCCTCCAGATTCTACAGAAAGAGTGTTTCAAAACTGCTCTATGAAAAGGAAGGTTCAACTCTGTGAGTTGAATGCAGACATCATAAAGGAGTTTCTGAGAATGCTTCTGTCTTGTTTTAATGTGAAGATACTTCCTTTTCTACCGATAGCCTAAAAGAGCTCCAAATGTCCAACTGCAGATTTTTTAAAAAGAATGTTTCAAAACTGCACTATCAAAAGAAAGGTTCAGCTCTGTGAGTTGAATGCACACATCTCAAAGGAGTTTCTGAGAATGGTTCTGTCTAGTTTTTATGTGAAGATATTCGCGATTCCAATGAAGTCTTCAAAGCGCTCCAAATATCTAAATGCGGATCCTACAAAAAGAGTGATTCAAAACTGGTCTATTAAAAGGAAGGTTCAGCTCTGTGAGTTGAACGCACACATCACAGAAAGTTTCTGAGAATGCTTCCATTTAGTTTTTAGGTGAGGATGTTACCTTTTCAACCACAGCCTTCAAAACGCTCCAAATGTCCACTTGCAGATTCTACAAGAAGATTGTTTCCAGGCTGCTCTATCAAAAGAAATGTTCACCTATGGGAGTAGAATACACACATCACAAAGTCGTTTCTGAGAATGCTTCTGTCTAGTTTTTATGTGAAGATATTTCCTTTTCTACCAGAGGCCTGAAAGCGCTCCAAATATCCAATTGCAGATTCTACAACAAGAGTGTTTCAAAACTTCTCTATCAAAAGTAAGGGTCTGCTTTGTGAGTTGAATGTACACATCAAAATGAAGTTTCTGATTATACTTCTGTCTATTTCTTATGGGAAGATATTTCCTTATCCGCAATGGTCCTCAAAGCCCTCGAAATGCCCACTTGAAGATTCTTCGGAAAGACTGTTTCAAAACTGCTCTATCAAAGGAAAGTTTCAACTTTGTGTGTAGAATGCACACATCACAAAGTCGTTTCTGAGAATGCTTCTGTCTAGTTTTTATAGGAAGATATTTCCTTTTCTACCATAAGCCTCAAAGCACTGCACATATGAACTGGCAGATTCTTTAAAAAGAGTGTTTCAAAACTGCTCTATCAAAACTGTTCTATCAACTCTGTGAGATGAATGGACACATCACAAAGATGTTTCTGAGAATGCTTCTGTCTAGGTTTTAGGTGAAGATATTCTCGTTTCCAAAGAATGCTTCAAAGAGTACTTAAATATCCGCCTGCAGATTCTACAAAAGGAGTGTTTCAAAACTGCTCTAACAAAAGAAAGTTTCAACCTGGGAGTTGAATGCACACATCACAAAGAAGTTTCTGAGAATGCTTCTGTCTAGTTTTAATGCGAAGATATTCCCTCTTCCACCATAACCTTTAAAGCGCTCCAAATGTCCATTTGCAGATTTTACAAACAGAGTGTTTAAAGACTGCTCTACCAAAAGAAATTTTCGACTATGGGAGTAGAATGCACACATCACAAATTCGTTTCTGAGAATGCTTCTGTCAATTTTTTATGTGAAGATATTTCCTTTTCTACCACAGGCATAAATGTGCTCCAAATATCCACTTGCAGATTCTAAAAAAAGAGTGTTTCAAAACTGCTGTATCAAAAGGAAGGTTCAATTCTGTGAGTTGAATGCACACATCACAAAGTAGTTTCTGAGAATGCTTCTGCCTAATTTTTAGATTTAAGCTATTCCCATTTCCAAAGAAGGCTTCAATTTGCTCCAAATATCCACTTGCAGAGTGTACAAAAAGAGGGTTTCAAAACTGCTCTATCAAAAGGAAGGTTCAACTCTGTGAGATGAATGCACACATCACAAAGTGGTTTCAGAGAATGCTTCTTTCTAGTTTTTAGGTGACGATATTCCCGTTTCCAATGTAGCACTCAAAGAGCTCCAAATATCCTCCTGCAGATTGTGCAAAAAGGGTGTTTCAAAACTGCTCTATCAAAAAGAATCTTCAACTCTGTGAGCTGAATGCACAAATCACAAAGTAGTTTCTGGGAATACTTCTGTCTATTTTTATGTGACGATACTCCCGTTTCCAAAGAAGGCTTCAAAGCACTCCAAATATCCACCTGCAGATTATAAAGGAAGAGTTTTTCAAAACTGCTCAATCCAAAGGAAGGTTCAGCTCCGTGAGTTCAATGCCCACATCACAAAGAAGTTTCTGAGAATGCTTCTGTCTAGTTTCAAGGGGAAGATATTCCCGTTTCCAACGAAGTCTTCAAAGCGCTCCAAATATCCACTTGCAGAGTCTACAAAAAGACTGTTTCAAAACTGCTCAATAAAAGTAAGGTTGTACCTTGTTAGTTGAATGCACCCATCAAAATGAAGTTTCTGAGAACACTTCTGTCTACTTTTCATGTGAAGATATTTCCTTATCCACAATAGTCCCCAAAGCCCTCAAAATGCCCACTTGAAGATCCCTCAAAAAGACTGTTTCAAAACTGCAGTATCAGAAGGAAATTTCAACTATGTGAGTAGAATGCACACATCACAAAGTAGTTTCTGAGAATGCTTCTGTCTAGTTTTTATATGAAGATATTTCCTTTTCGACCTTAAGCCTCAAAGTGCTACAATTATGCACTTTCAGATTCTTCAAAAAGAGGGTTTCAAAACTGCTCTGGCAAAAGGAAGGTTCAACGCTGTGAGTTGAATGCACACATCACAAAGAAGTTTCTGAGAATGCTTCTGTCTAATTTTTATGTGAAGATAATCCTGTTTCCCAAGAAGGCTTCAAAGCACCCTAATATCCGCCTCCAGATTCTACAGAAAGAGTGTTTCAAAACTGCTCTATGGAAAGGAAGGTTCAACTCTGTGAGTTGAATGCAGACATCATAAAGGAGTTTCTGAGAATGCTTCTGTCTTCTTTTAATGTGAAGATATTTCCTTTTCAACCGATAGCCTAAAAGAGCTCCAAATGTCCAACTGCAGATTTTTTAAAAAGAATGTTTCAAAACTGCACTATCAAAAGAAAGGTTCAGCTCTGTGAGTTGAATGCACACATCTCAAAGAAGTTTCTGAGAATGGTTCTGTCTAGTTTTTATGTGAAGGTATTCGCGATTCCAATGAAGTCTTCAAAGCGCTCCAAATATCTAAATGCGGATTCTACAAAAAGAGTGATTCAAAACTGGTCTAAGAAAAGGAAGGTTCAGCTCTGTGAGTTGAACGCACACATCACAAAAAGTTTCGGACAATGCTCCCATTTAGTTTTTAGGTGAAGATATTACTTTTTCAACCACAGCCTTCGAAATGCTCCAAATGTCCACTTGCAGATTCGACAAGAAGATTGTTTCCAGGCGGCTCTATCAAAAGAAATGTTCAACTATGGGAGTAAAATACACACATCACAAAGTCGTTTCTGAGAATGCTTCTGTCTAGTTTTTATGTGAAGATATTTCCTTTTCTACCAGAGGCCTGAAAGCGCTCCAAACATCCCATTGCAGATTCTACAAAAAGAGTGTTTCAAAACTTCTCTATCAAAAGTAAGGGTCTGCTTTGTGAGTTGAATGTACACATCAAAATGAAGTTTCTGATTATAATTCTGTCTACTTCTTATGGGAAGATATTTCCTTATCCGCAATGGTCCTCAAAGCCCTCGAAATGTCCACTTGAAGATTCTTCGGAAAGACTGCTTCAAAACTGCTCTATCAAAAGAAAGTTTCAACTTTGTGTGTAGAATGCACACATCACAAAGTCGTTTCTGAGAATGCTTCTGTCTAGTTTTTATAGGAAGATATTTCCTTTTCTACCATAAGCCTCAAAGCACTGCACATATGAACTGGCAGATTCTTCAAAAAGAGTGTTTCAAAACTGCTCTATCAAAACTGTTCTATCAACTCTGTGAGTTGAGTGGACACATCACAAAGACGTTTCTGAGAATGCTTCTGTCTAGGTTTTAGGTGAAGATATTCTCGTTTCCAAAGAATGCTTCAAAGAGTACTTAAATATCCGCCTGCAGATTCTACAAAAGGAGTGCCTCAAAACTGCTCTAACAAAAGAAAGGTTCAACCTGGGAGTTGAATGCACACATCACAAAGAAGTTTCTGAGAATGCTTCTGTCTAGTTTTAATGCGAAGATATTCCCTTTTCCATCATAACCTTCAAAGCGCTCCAAATGTCCATTTGCAGATTTTAGAAACAGAGTGTTTCCAGACTGCTCTATCAAAAGAAATTTTCAACTATGGGAGTAGAATGCACACAACACAAATTCGTTTCTGAGAATGCTTCTGTCTAGTTTTTATGTGAAGATATTTCCTTTTCTACCACAGGCATAAATGTGCTCCAAATATCCACTTGCAGATTCTGAAAAAAGAGTGTTTCAAAACTGCTGTATCAAAAGGAAGGTTCAATTCTGTGAGTTGAATGCACACATCACAAAGTAGTTTCTGAGAATGCTTCTGCCTAATTTTTAATTTTAAGATATTCCCATTTCCAAAGAAGGCTTCAATTTGCTCCAAATATCCACTTGCAGATTGTACAAAAAGAGGGTTTCAAAACTGCACTATCAAAAGGAAGGTTCAACTCTGTGAGATGAATGCACATATCACAAAGTGGTTTCAGAGAATGCTTCTTTCTAGTTTTTCGGTGACGATATTCCCGTTTCCAATGTAGCATTCAAAGCAGCTCCAAATATCCTCCTGCAGATTGTGCAAAAAGGGTGTTTCAAAACTGCTCTATCAAAAAGAAGCTTCAACTCTGTGAGTTGAATGCACAAATCACAAAGAAGTCTCTGAGAATACTTCTGTCTATTTTTAGGTGACGATACTCCCGTTTCCAAAGAAGGCTTCAAAGCACTCCAAATATCCACCTGCAGATTATAAAGGAAGAGTTTTTCAAAACTGCTCAATCCAAAGGAAGGTTCAGCTCCGTGAGTTCAATGCCCACATCACAAAGAAGTTTCTGAGAATGCTTCTGTGTGGTTTCAAGGGGAAGATATTCCCGTTTCCAACGAAGGCTTCAAAGCGCTCCAAATATCCGCTTGCAGAGTCTACAAAAAGACTGTTTCAAAACTGCTCTATAAAAGTAAGGTTGTACTTTGTTAGTGGAATGCACCCATCAAAATGAAGTTTCTGAGAACACTTCTATCTACTTTTCATGTGAAGATATTTCCTTATCCACAATAGTCCCCAAAGCCCTCAAAATGCCCACTCGAAGATTCCTCAAAAAGACGGTTTCAAAACTGCAGTATCAGAAGGAAATTTCAACTATGTGAGTAGAATGCACACATCACAAAGTAGTTTCTGAGAATGCTTCTGTCTAGTTTTTATATGAAGATATTTCCTTTTCTACCTTAAGCCTCAAAGTGCTGCAATTATGCACTTTCAGATTCTTCAAAAAGAGGGTTTCAAAACTGCTCTAGCAAAAGGAAGTTTCAACGCTGTGAGTTGAATGCACACATCACAAAGAAGTTTCTGAGAATGCTTCTGTCTAATTTTTATGTGAAGATAATCCTGTTTCCCAAGAAGGCTTCAAAGCACCCTAATATCCTCCTCCAGATTCTACAGAAAGAGTGTTTCAAAACTGCTCTATCAAAAGGAAGGTTCAACTCTGTGAGTTGAATGCAGACATCATAAAGGAGTTTCTGAGAATGCTTCTGTCTTGTTTTAATGTGAAGATACTTCCTTTTCAACCGATAGCCTAAAAGAGCTCCAAATGTCCAACTGCAGATTTTTTAAAAAGAATGTTTCAAAACTGCATTATCAAAAGAAAGGTTCAGCTCTGTGAGTTGAATGCACACATCTCAAAGGGGTTTCTGAGAATGGTTCTGTCTAGTTTTTATGTGAAGGTATTCGCGATTCCAATGAAGTCTTCAAAGCGCTCCAAATATCTAAATGCGGATTCTACAAAAAGAGTGATTCAAAACTGGTCTAAGAAAAGGAAGGTTCAGCTCTGTGAGTTGAACGCACACATCACAAAAAGTTTCGGACAATGCTCCCATTTAGTTTTTAGGTGAAGATATTACCTTTTCAACCACAGCCTTCGAAATGCTCCAAATGTCCACTTGCAGATTCTACAAGAAGATTGTTTCCAGGCGGCTCTATCAAAAGAAATGTTCAACTATGGGAGTAGAATACACACATCACAAAGTCGTTTCTGAGAATGCTTCTGTCTAGTTTTTATGTGAAGATATTTCCTTTTCTACCAGAGGCCTGAAAGCGCTCTAAACATCCAATTGCAGATTCTACAAAAAGAGTGTTTCAAAACTTCTCTATCAAAAGTTAGGGTCTGCTTTGTGAGTTGAATGTACACATCAAAATGAAGTTTCTGATTATACTTCTGTCTACTTGTTATGGGAAGATATTTCCTTATCCGCAATGGTCCTCAAAGCCCTCGAAATGCCCACTTGAAGATTCTTCGGAAAGACTGTTTCAAAACTGCTCTATCAAAAGAAAGTTTCAACTTTGTGTGTAGAATGCACACATCACAAAGTCGTTTCTGAGAATGCTTCTGTCTAGTTTTTATATGAAGATATTTCCTTTTCTACCATAAGCCCCAAAGCACTGCACATATGAACTGGCAGATTCTTTAAAAAGAGTGTTTCAAAACTGCTCTATCAAAACTGTTCTATCAACTCTGTGAGATGAATGGACACATCACAAAGATCTTTCTGAGAATGCTTCTGTCTAGGTTTTAGGTGAAGATATTCTCGTTTCCAAAGAATGCTTCAAATAGTACTTAAATATCCGCCTGCAGATTCTACAAAAGGAGTGTTTCAAAACTGCTCTAACAAAAGAAAGGTTCAACCTGGGAGTTGAATGCACACATCACAAAGAAGTTTCTGAGAATGCTTCTGTCTAGTTTTAATGCGAAGATATTCCCTTTTCCATCATAACCTTCAAAGCGCTCCAAATGTCCATTTGCAGATTTTAGAAACAGAGTGTTTCCAGACTGCTCTATCAAAAGAAATTTTCAACTATGGGAGTAGAATGCACACAACACAAATTCGTTTCTGAGAATGCTTCTGTCTAGTTTTTATGTGAAGATATTTCCTTTTCTACCACAGGCATAAATGTGCTCCAAATATCCACTTGCAGATTCTGAAAAAAGAGTGTTTCAAAACTGCTGTATCAAAAGGAAGGTTCAATTCTGTGAGTTGAATGCACACATCACAAAGCAGTTTCTGAGAATGCTTCTGCCTAATTTTTAATTTTAAGATATTCCCATTTCCAAAGAAGGCTTCAATTTGCTCCAAATTTCCACTTGCAGATTGTACAAAAAGAGGGTTTCAAAACTGCTCTATCAAAAGGAAGGTTCAACTCTGTGAGATGAATGCACACATCACAAAGTGGTTTCAGAGAATGCTTCTTTCTAGGTTTTAGGTGACGATATTCCCGTTTCCAATGTAGCACTCAAAGAGCTCCAAATATCCTCCTGCAGATTGTGCAAAAAGGGTGTTTCAAAACTGCTCTATCAAAAAGAAGCTTCAACTCTGTGAGTTGAATGCACAAATCACAAAGAAGTTTCTGGGAATACTTCTGTCTATTTTTATGTGACGATACTCCCGTTTCCAAAGAAGGCTTCAAAGCACTCCAAATATTCACCTGCAGATTATAAAGGAAGAGTTTTTCAAAACTGCTCAATCCAAAGGAAGGTTCAGCTCCGTGAGTTCAATGCCCACATCACAAAGAAGTTTCTGAGAATGCTTCTGTCTAGTTTCAAGGGGAAGATATTCCCGTTTCCAACGAAGGCTTCAAAGCGCTCCAAATATCCACTTGCAGAGTCTACAAAAAGACTGTTTCAAAACTGCTCTATAAAAGTAAGGTTGTACTTTGTTAGTGGAATGCACCCATCAAAATGAAGTTTCTGAGAACACTTCTGTCTACTTTTCATGTGAAGATATTTCCTTATCCACAATAGTCCCCAAAGCCCTCAAAATGCCCACTTGAAGATCGCTCAAAAAGACGGTTTGAAAACTGCAGTATCAGAAGGAAATTTCAACTATGTGAGTATAATGCACACATCACAAAGTAGTTTCTGAGAATGCTTCTGTCTAGTTTTTATATGAAGATATTTCCTTTTCTACCTTAAGCCTCAAAGTGCTGCAATTATGCACTTTCAGATTGTTCAAAAAGAGGGTTTCAAAACTGCTCTAGCAAAAGGAAGTTTCAACGCTGTGAGTTGAATGCACACATCACAAAGAAGTTTCTGAGAATGTTTCTGTCTAATTTTTATATGAAGATAATCCTGTTTCCCAAGAAGGCTTCAAAGCACCCTAATATCCGCCTCCAGATTCTACAGAAAGAGTGTTTCAAAACTGCTCTATGAAAAGGAAGGTTCAACTCTGTGAGTTGTATGCAGACATCATAAAGGAGTTTCTGAGAATGCTTCTGTCTTGTTTTAATGTGAAGATATTTCCTTTTCAACCGATAGCCTAAAAGAGCTCCAAATGTCCAACTGCAGATATTTTAAAAAGAATGTTTCAAAACTGCACTATCAAAAGAAAGGTTCAGCTCTGTGAGTTGAATGCACACATCTCGAAGAAGTTTCTGAGAATGCTTCTGTCTAGTTTTTATGTGAAGGTATTCGCGATTCCAATGAAGTCTTCAAAGCGCTCCAAATATCTAAATGCGGATTCTACAAAAAGAGTGATTCAAAACTGGTCTAAGAAAAGGAAGGTTCAGCTCTGTGAGTTGAACGCACACATCACAAAAAGTTTCGGAGAATGCTTCCATTTAGTTTTTGGGTGAAGATATTACCTTTCCAACCACAGCCTTCAAAACGCTCCAAATGTCCACTTGCAGATTCTACAAGAAGATTGTTTCCAGGCGGCTCTATCAAAAGAAATGTTCAACTATGGGAGTAGAATACACACATCACAAAGTCGTTTCTGAGAATGCTTCTGTCTAGTTTTTATGTGAAGATACTTCCTTTTCTACCAGAGGCCTGAAAGCGCTCCAAATATCCAATTGCAGATTCTACAAGAAGAGTGTTTCAAAACTTCTCCATCAAAAGTAAGGGTCTGCTTTGTGAGTTGAATGTACACATCAAAATGAAGTTTCTGATTATACTTCTGTCTACTCCTTATGGGAAGATATTTCCTTATCCGCAATGGTCCTCAAAGCCCTCGAAATGCCCACTTGAAGATTCTTCGGAAAGACTGTTTCAAAACTGCTCTATCAAAAGAAAGTTTCAACTTTGTGTGTAGAATGCACACATCACAAAGTCGTTTCTGAGAATGCTTCTGTCTAGTTTTTATAGGAAGATATTTCCTTTTCTACCATCAGCCTCAAAGCACTGCACATATGAACTGGCAGATTCTTCAAAAAGAGTGTTTCAAAACTGCTCTATCAAAACTGATCTATCAACTCTGTGAGTTGAGTGGACACATCACAAAGACGTTTCTGAGAATGCTTCCGTCTAGGTTTTAGGTGAAGATATTCTCATTTCCAAAGAATGCTTCAAATAGTAATTAAATATCCGCCTGCAGATTCTACAAAAGGAGTGTTTCAAAACTGCTCTAACAAAAGAAAGGTTCAACCTGGGAGTTGAATGCACACATCACAAAGAAGTTTCTGAGAATGCTTCTGTCTAGTTTTAATGCGAAGATATTCCCTCTTCCACCATAACCTTCAAAGCGCTCCAAATGTCCATTTGCAGATTTTACAAACAGAGTGTTTCCAGACTGCTCTACCAAAAGAAATTTTCAACTATGGGAGTAGAATGCACACATCACAAATTCGTTTCTGCGAATGCTTCTGTCTACTTTTTATGTGAAGATATTTCCTTTTCTACCATAGGCATAAACGTGCTCCAAATATCCACTGGCAGATTCTAAAAAAAGAGTGTTTCAAAACTGCTCTATCAAAAGGAAGGTTCAATTCTGTGAGATGAATGCACACATCACAAAGTAGTTTCTGAGAATGCTTCTGCCTAATTTTTAATTTTAAGATATTCCCATTTCCAAAGAAGGCTTCAATTTGCTCCAAATATCCACTTGCAGATTGTACAAAAAGAGGGTTTCAAAACTGCTCTATCAAAAGGAAGGTTCAACTCTGTGAGATGAATGCACACATCACAAAGTGGTTTCAGAGAATGCTTGTTTCTAGTTTTCAGGTGACGATATTCCCGTTTCCAATGTAGCACTCAAAGAGCTCCAAATATCCTCCTGCAGATTGTGCAAAAAGGGTGTTTCAAAACTGCTCTATCAAAAAGAAGCTTCAACTCTTGAGTTGAATGCACAAATCACAAAGAAGTTTCTGGGAATACTTCTGTCTATTTTTATGTGACGATACTCCCGTTTCCAAAGAAGGCTTCAAAGCACTCCAAATATCCACCTGCAGATTATAAAGGAAGAGTTTTTCAAAACTGCTCAATCCAAAGGAAGGTTCAGCTCCGTGAGTTCAATGCCCACATCACAAAGAAGTTTCTGAGAATGCTTCTGTCTGGTTTCAAGGGGAAGATATTCCCGTTTCCAACGAAGGCTTCAAAGCGCTCCAAATATCCACTTGCAGAGTCTACAAAAAGACTGTTTCAAAACTGCTTTATAAAAGTAAGGTTGTACTTTGTTACTTGAATGCACCCATCAAAATGAAGTTTCTGAGAACACTTCTGTCTACTTTTCATGTGAAGATATTTCCTTATCCACAATAGTCCCCAAAGCCCTGAAAATGCCCACTCGAAAATTCCTCAAAAGGACGGTTTCAAAACTGCAGTATCAGAAGGAAATTTCAACTATGTGAGTAGAATGCACACATCACAAAGTAGTTTCTGAGAATGCTTCTGTCTAGTTTTTATATGAAGATATTTCCTTTTCGACCTTAAGCCTCAAAGTGCTGCAATTATGCACTTTCAGATTCTTCAAAAAGAGGGTTTCAAAACTGCTCTGGCAAAAGGAAGTTTCAACGCTGTGAGTTGAATGCACACATCACAAAGAAGTTTCTGAGAATGCTTCTGTCTAATTTTTATGTGAAGATAATCCTGTTTCCCAAGAAGGCTTCAAAGCACCCTAATATCTTCCTTCAGATTCTACAGAAAGAGTGTTTCAAAACTGCTCTATCAAAAGGAAGGTTCAACTCTGTGAGTTGAATGCAGACATCATAAAGGAGTTTCTGAGAATGCTTCCGTCTTGTTTTAATGTGAAGATATTTCCTTTTCAACCGATAGCCTAAAAGAGCTCCAAATGTCCAACTGCAGATTTTTTAAAAAGAATGTTTCAAAACTGCACTATCAAAAGAAAGGTTCAGCTCCGTGAGTTGAATGCACACATCTCAAAGAAGTTTCTGAGAATGGTTCTGTCTAGTTTTTATGTGAAGGTATTCGCGATTCCAATGAAGTCTTCAAAGCGCTCCAAATATCTAAATGCGGATTCTACAAAAAGAGTGATTCAAAACTGGTCTATGAAAAGGAAGGTTCAGCTCTGTGAGTTGAACGCACACATCACAAAAAGTTTCCGACAATGCTTCCATTTAGTTTTTAGGTGAAGATATTACCTTTTCAACCACAGCCTTCAAAACGCTCCAAATGTCCACTTGCAGATTCTACAAGAAGATTGTTTCCAGGCGGCTCTATCAAAAGAAATGTTCAACTATGGGAGTAGAATACACACATCACAAAGTCGTTTCTGAGAATGCTTCTGTCTTGTTTTTATGTGAAGATATTTCCTTTTCTACCAGAGGCCTGAAACCGCTCCAAACATCGAATTGCAGATTCTACAAAAAGAGTGTTTCAAAACTTCTCTATCAAAAGTAAGGGTCTGCTTTGTGAGTTGAATGTACACATCAAAATGAAGTTTCTGATTATACTTCTGTCTACTTCTTATGTGAAGATATTTCCTTATCCGCAATGGTCCTCAAAGCCCTCGAAATGCCCACTTGAAGATTCTTCGGAAAGACTGTTTCAAAACTGCTCTATCAAAAGAAAGTTTCCACTTTGTGTGTAGAATGCACACATCACAAAGTCGTTTCTGAGAATGCTTCTGTCTAGTTTTTACAGGAAGATATTTCCTTTTCTACCATAAGCCTCAAAGCACTGCACATATGAACTGGCAGATTCTTTAAAAAGAGTGTTTCAAAACTGCTCTATCAAAACTGTTCTATCAACTCTTTGAGATGAATGGACACATCACAAAGATGTTTCTGAGAATGCTTCTGTCTAGGTTTTAGGTGAAGATATTCTCGTTTCCAAAGAATGCTTCAAAGAGTACTTAAATATCCGCCTGCAGATTCTACAAAAGGAGTGTTTCAAAACTGCTCTAACAAAAGAAAAGTTCAACCTGGGAGTTGAATGCACACATCACAAAGAAGTTTCTGAGAATGCTTCTGTCTAGTTTTAATGCGAAGATATTCCCTCTTCCACCATAACCTTCAAAGCGCTCCAAATGTCCATTTGCAGATTTTACAAACAGAGTGTTTCCAGACTGCTCTACCAAAAGAAATTTTCAACTATGGGAGTAGAATGCACACATCACAAATTCGTTTCTGAGAATGCTTCTGTCTAGTTTTTATGTGAAGATATTTCCTTTTCTACCACAGGCATAAATGTGCTCCAAATATCCACTTGCAGATTCTAAACAAAGAGTGTTTCAAAACTGCTGTATCAAAAGGAAGGTTCAATTCTGTGAGTTGAATGCACACATCACAAAGTAGTTTCTGAGAATGCTTCTGCCTAATTTTTAATTTTAAGATATTCCCATTTCCAAAGAAGGCTTCAATTTGCTCCAAATATCCACTTGCAGATTGTACAAAAAGAGGGTTTCAAAACTGCTCTATCAAAAGGAAGGTTCAACTCTGTGAGATGAATGCACACATCACAAAGTGGTTTCAGAGAATGCTTCTTTCTAGTTTTTAGGTGACGATATTCCCGTTTCCAATGTAGCACTCAAAGAGCTCCAAATATCCTCCTGCAGATTGTGCAAAAAGGGTGTTTCAAAACTGCTCTATCAAAAAGAAGCTTCAACTCTGTGAGTTGAATGCACAAATCACAAAGAAGTTTCTGGGAATACTTCTGTCTATTTTTATGTGACGATACTCCCGTTTCCAAAGAAGGCTTCAAAGCACTCCAAATATCCACCTGCAGATTATAAAGGAAGAGTTTTTCAAAACTGCTCAATCCAAAGGAAGGTTCAGCTCCGTGAGTTCAATGCCCACATCACAAAGAAGTTTCTGAGAATGCTTCTGTCTAGTTTCAAGGGAAAGATATTCCCGTTTCCAACGAAGGCTTCAAAGCGCTCCAAATATCCACTTGCAGAGTCTACAAAAAGACTGTTTCAAAACTGCTCAATAAAAGTAAGGTTGTACCTTGTTAGTTGAATGCACCCATCAAAATGAAGTTTCTGAGAACACTTCTGTCTACTTTTCATGTGAAGATATTTCCTTATCCACAATAGTCCCCAAAGCCCTCAAAATGCCCACTTGCAGATCCCTCAAAAAGACGGTTTCAAAACTGCAGTATCAGTAGGAAATTTCAACTATGTGAGTAGAATGCACACATCACAAAGTAGTTTCTGAGAATGCTTCTGTCTAGTTTTTATATGAAGTATATTTCCTTTTCTACCTTAAGCCTCAAAGTGCTGCAATTATGCACTTTCAGATTCTTCAAAAAGAGGGTTTCAAAACTGCTCTAGCAAAAGGAAGTTTCAACGCTGTGAGTTGAATGCACACATCACAAAGAAGTTTCTGAGAATGCTTCTGTCTAATTTTTATGTGAAGATAATCCTGTTTCCCAAGAAGGCTTCAAAGCACCCTAACATCCGCCTCCAGATTCTACAGAAAGAGTGTTTCAAAACTGCTCAATCAAAAGGAAGGTTCAACTCTGTGAGTTGAATGCAGACATCATAAAGTAGTTTGTGAGAATGCTTCTGTCTTGTTTTAATGTGAAGATACTTCCTTTTCAACCGATAGCCTAAAAGAGCTCCAAATGTCCAACTGCAGATTTTTTAAAAAGAATGTTTCAAAACTGCACTATCAAAAGAAAGGTTCAGCTCTGTGAGTTGAATGCACACATCTCAAAGGAGTTTCTGAGAATGGTTCTGTCTAGTTTTTATGTGAAGGTATTCGCGATTCCAATGAAGTCTTCAAAGCGCTCCAAATATCTAAATGCGGATTCTACAAAAAGAGTGATTCAAAACTGGTCTATGAAAAGGAAGGTTCAGCTCTGTGAGTTGAACGCACACATCACAAAAAGTTTCCGACAATGCTTCCATTTAGTTTTTAGGTGAAGATATTACCTTTTCAACAACAGCCTTCGAAACGCTCCAAATGTCCACTTGCAGATTCTACAAGAAGATTGTTTCCAGGCGGCTCTATCAAAAGAAATGTTCAACTATGGGAGTAGAATACACACATCACAAAGTCGTTTCTGAGAATGCTTCTGTCTAGTTTTTATGTGAAGATATTTCCTTTTCTACCAGAGGCCTGAAAGCGCTCCAAATATCCAATTGCAGATTCTACAAAAAGAGTGTTTCAAAACTTCTCTATCAAAAGTAAGGGTCTGCTTTGTGAGTTGAATGTACACATCAAAATGAAGTTTCTGATTATACTTCTGTCTACTTCTTATGTGAAGATATTTCCTTATCCGCAATGGTCCTCAAAGCCCTCGAAATGCCCACTTGAAGGTTCTTCGGAAAGACTGTTTCAAAACTGCTCTATCAAAAGAAAGTTTCCACTTTGTGTGTAGAATGCACACATCACAAAGTCGTTTCTGAGAATGCTTCTGTCTAGTTTTTATAGGAAGATATTTCCTTTTCTACCATAAGCCTCAAAGCACTGCACATATGAACTGGCAGATTCTTCAAAAAGAGTGTTTCAAAACTGCTCTATCAAAACTGTTCTATCAACTCTGTGAGTTGAGTGGACACATCACAAAGACGTTTCTGAGAATGCTTCTGTCTAGGTTTTAGGTGAAGATATTCTCGTTTCCAAAGAATGCTTCAAAGAGTACTTAAATATCCGCCTGCAGATTCTACAAAAGGAGTGTTTCAAAACTGCTCTAACAAAAGAAAGGTTCAACCTGGGAGTTGAATGCACACATCACAAAGAAGTTTCTGAGAATGCTTCTGTCTAGTTTTAATGCGAAGATATTCCCTCCTCCACCATAACCTTCAAAGCGCTCCAAATGTCCATTTGCAGATATTACAAACAGAGTGTTTCCAGACTGCTCTACCAAAAGAAATTTTCAACTATGGGAGTAGAATGCACACATCAGAAATTCCTTTCTGAGAATGCTTCTGTCTAGTTTTTATGTGAAGATATTTCCTTTTCTACCACAGGCATAAATGTGCTCCAAATATCCACTTGCAGATTCTAAACAAAGAGTGTTTCAAAACTGCTGTATCAAAAGGAAGGTTCAATTCTGTGAGTTGAATGCGCACATCACAAAGCAGTTTCTGAGAATGCTTCTGCCTAATTTTTAGATTTAAGATATTCCCATTTCCAAAGAAGGCTTCAATTTGCTCCAAATATCCACTTGCAGAGTGTACAAAAAGAGGGTTTCAAAACTGCTCTATCAAAAGGAAGGTTCAACTCTGTGAGATGAATGCACACATCACAAAGTGGTTTCAGAGAATGCTTCTTTCTAGTTTTCAGGTGACGATATTCCCGTTTCCAATGTAGCACTCAAAGAGCTCCAAATATCCTCCTGCAGATTGTGCAAAAAGGGTGTTTCAAAACTGCTCTATCAAAAAGAAGCTTCAACTCTGTAACTTGAATGCACAAATCACAGAGAAGTTTCTGGGAATACTTCTTTCTAGTTTTTATGTGAAGATATTCCCGTTTCCAATGAAGGATTCAAAGAGCACCAAATATCCACCTGCAGATACTACAAAAACAGTTTTTCAAAACTGCTCAATCAAAAGGAAGGTTCAGCTCCGTGAGTTCAATGCCCACATCACAAAGAAGTTTCTGAGAATGCTTCTGTCTAGTTTCAATGGGAAGATATTCCCGTTTCCAACGAAGGCTTCAAAGCGCTCCAAATATCCACTTGCAGAGTCTACAAAAAGACTGTTTCACATCTGCTCTATAAAAGTAAGGTTGTACTTTGTTAGTTGAATGCACCCATCAAAATGAAGTTTCTGAGAACACTTCTGTCTACTTTTCATGTGAAGATATTTCCTTATCCACAATAGTCCCCAAAGCCCTCAAAATGCCCACTCGAAGATTCCTCAAAAAGACGGTTTCAAAACTGCAGTATCAGAAGGAAATTTCAACTATGTGAGTAGAATGCACACATCACAAAGTAGTTTCTGAGAATGCTTCTGTCTAGTTTTTATATGAAGATATTTCCTTTTCTACCTTAAGCCTCAAAGTGCTGCAATTATGCACTTTCAGATTCTTCAAAAAGAGGGTTTCAAAACTGCTCTAGCAAAAGGAAGTTTCAACGCTGTGAGTTGAATGCACACATCACAAAGAAGTTTCTGAGAATGCTTCTGTCTAATTTTTATGTGAAGATAATCCTGTTTCCCAAGAAGGCTTCAAAGCACCCTAATATCCGCCTCCAGATTCTACAGAAAGAGTGTTTCAAAACTGCTCTATCAAAAGGAAGGTTCAACTCTGTGAGTTGAATGCAGACATCATAAAGGAGTTTCTGAGAATGCTTCTGTCTTGTTTTAATGTGAAGATATTTCCTTTTCAACCGATAGCCTAAAAGAGCTCCAAATGTCCAACTGCAGATTTTTTAAAAAGAATGTTTCAAAACTGCACTATCAAAAGAAAGGTTCAGCTCTGTTAGTTGAATGCACACATCTCGAAGAAGTTTCTGAGAATGCTTCTGTCTAGTTTTTATGTGAAGGTATTCGCGATTCCAATGAAGTCTTCAAAGCGCTCCAAATATCTAAATGCGGATTCTACAAAAAGAGTGATTCAAAACTGGTCTATGAAAAGGAAGGTTCAGCTCTGTGAGTTGAACGCACACATCACAAAAAGTTTCCGACAATGCTTCCATTTAGTTTTTAGGTGAAGATATTACCTTTTCAACCACAGCCTTCGAAACGCTCCAAATGTCCACTTGCAGATTCTACAAGAAGATTGTTTCCAGGCGGCTCTATCAAAAGAAATGTTCAACTATGGGAGTAGAATACACACATCACAAAGTCGTTTCTGAGAATGCTTCTGTCTAGTTTTTATGTGAAGATATTTCCTTTTCTACCAGAGGCCTGAAAGCGCTCCAAATATCCAATTGCAGATTCTACAGAAAGAGTGTTTCAAAACTTCTCTATCAAAAGTAAGGGTCTGCTTTGTGAGTTGAATGTACACATCAAAATGAAGTTTCTGATTATACTTCTGTCTACTTCTTATGGGAAGATATTTCCTTATCCACAATGGTCCTCAAAGCCCTCGAAATGCCCACTTGAAGATTCTTCGGAAAGACTGTTTCAAAACTGCTCTATCAAAAGAAAGTTTCAACTTTGTGTGTAGAATGCACACATCACAAAGTCGTTTCTGAGAATGCTTCTGTCTAGTTTTTATATGAAGATATTTCCTTTTCTACCATAAGCCTCAAAGCACTGCACATATGAACTGGCAGATTCTTTAAAAAGAGTGTTTCAAAACTGCTCTATCAAAACTGTTCTATCAACTCTGTGAGATGAATGGACACATCACAAAGATGTCTCTGAGAATGCTTCTGTCTAGGTTTTAGGTGAAGATATTCTCGTTTCCAAAGAATGCTTCAAAGAGTACTTAAATATCCGCCTGCAGATTCTACAAAAGGAGTGTTTCAAAACTGCTCTAACAAAAGAAAGGTTCAACCTGGGAGTTGAATGCACACATCACAAAGAAGTTTCTGAGAATGCTTCTGTCTAGTTTTAATGCGAAGATATTCCCTCTTCCACCATAACCTTCAAAGCGCTCCAAATGTCCATTTGCAGATTTTACAAACAGAGTGTTTCCAGACTGCTCTACCAAAAGAAATTTTCAACTATGGGAGTAGAATGCACACATCACAAATTCGTTTCTGAGAATGCTTCTGTCTAGTTTTCATGTGAAGATATTTCCTTTTCTACCGTAGGCATACATGTGCTCCAAATATCCGCTTGCAGATTCTAAAAAAAGAGTGTTTCAAAACTGCTCCATCAAAAGGAAGGTTCAATTCTGTGAGTTGAATGCACACATCACAAAGTAGTTTCTGAGAATGCTTCTGCCTAATTTTTAGATTTAAGATTTCCCATTTCCAAAGAAGGCTTCAATTTGCTCCAAATATCCACTTGCAGATTGTACAAAAAGAGGGTTTCTAAACTGCTCTATCAAAAGGAAGGTTCAACTCTGTGAGATGAATGCACACATCACAAAGTGGTTTCAGAGAATGCTTCTTTCTAGTTTTCAGGTGACGATATTCCCGTTTCCAATGTAGCACTCAAAGAGCTCCAAATATCCTCCTGCAGATTGTGCAAAAAGGGTGTTTCAAAACTGCTCTATCAAAAAGAAGCTTCAACTCTGTGAGTTGAATGCACAAATCACAAAGAAGTTTCTGGGAATACTTCTGTCTATTTTTATGTGACGATACTCCCGTTTCCAAAGAAGGCTTCAAAGCACTCCAAATATCCACCTGCAGATTATAAAGGAAGAGTTTTTCAAAACTGCTCAATCCAAAGGAAGGTTCAGCTCCGTGAGTTCAATGCCCACATCACAAAGAAGTTTCTGAGAATGCTTCTGTCTAGTTTCAAGGGGAAGATATTCCCGTTTCCAACGAAGGCTTCAAAACGCTCCAAATATCCACTTGCAGAGTCTACAAAAAGACTGTTTCAAAACTGCTCTATAAAGGTAAGGTTGTACCTTGTTAGTTGAATGCACCCTTCAAAATGAAGTTTCTGAGAACACTTCTGTCTACTTTTCATGTGAAGATATTTCCTTATCCACAATAGTCCCCAAAGCCCTCAAAATGCCCACTGGAAGATTCCTCAAAAAGACTGTTTCAAAACTGCAGTATCAGAAGGAAATTTCAACTATGTGAGTAGAATGCACACATCACAAAGTAGTTTCTGAGAATGCTTCTGTCTAGTTTTTATATGAAGATATTTCCTTTTCGACCTTAAGCCTCAAAGTGCTGCAATTATGCACTTTCAGATTCTTCAAAAAGAGGGTTTCAAAACTGCTCTGGCAAAAGGAAGTTTCAACGCTGTGAGTTGAATGCACACATCACAAAGAAGTTTCTGAGAATGCTTCTGTCTAATTTTTATGTGAAGATAATCCTGTTTCCCAAGAAGGCTTCAAAGCACCCTAATATCCGCCTCCAGATTCTACAGAAAGAGTGTTTCAAAACTGCTCTATGAAAAGGAAGGTTCAACTCTGTGAGTTGAATGCAGACATCATAAAGGAGTTTCTGAGAATGCTTCTGTCTTGTTTTAATGTGAAGATATTTCCTTTTCAACCGATAGCCTAAAAGAGCTCCAAATGTCCAACTGCAGATATTTTAAAAAGAATGTTTCAAAACTGCACTATCAAAAGAAAGGTTCAGCTCTGTGAGTTGAATGCACACATCACAAAGGAGTTTCTGAGAATGGTTCTGTCTAGTTTTTATGTGAAGATATTCGCGATTCCAATGAAGTCTTCAAAGCGCTCCAAATATCTAAATGCGGATTCTACAAAAAGAGTGATTCAAAACTGGTCTAAGAAAAGGAAGGTTCAGCTCTGTGAGTTGAACGCACACATCACAAAACTTTCGGAGAATGCTTCCATTTAGTTTTTAGGTGAAGATATTACCTTTTCAACCACAGCCTTCAAAACGCTCCAAATGTCCACTTGCAGATTCTACAAGAAGATTGTTTCTAGCCGGCTATATCAAAAGAAATGTTCAACGATGGGAGTAGAATACACACATCACAAAGTCGTTTCTGAGAATGCTTCTGTCTAGTTTTTATGTGAAGATATTTCCTTTTCTACCAGAAGCCTGAAAGCGCTCCAAATATCCAATTGCAGATTCTACAAAAAGAGTGTTTCAAAACTTCTCTATCAAAAGTAAGGGTCTGCTTTGTGAGTTGAATGTACACATCAAAATGAAGTTTCTGATTATACTTCTGTCTACTTCTTATGGGAAGATATTTCCTTATCCGCAATGGTCCTCAAAGCCCTCGAAATGCCCACTTGAAGATTCTTCGGAAAGACGGTTTCAAAACTGCTCTATCAAAAGAAAGTTTCAACTTTGTGTGTAGAATGCACACATCACAAAGTCGTTTCTGAGAATGCTTCTGTCTAGTTTTTATATGAAGATATTTCCTTTTCTACCATAAGCCTCAAAGCACTGCACATATGAACTGGCACATTCTTCAAAAAGAGTGTTTCAAAACTCCTCTATCAAAACTGTTCTATCAACTCTGTGAGTTGAGTGGACACATCACAAAGACGTTTCTGAGAATGCTTCTGTCTGGGTTTTAGGTGAAGATATTCTCGTTTCCAAAGAATGCTTCAAAGAGTACTTAAATATCCGCCTGCAGATTCTACAAAAGGAGTGTTTCAAAACTGCTCTAACAAAAGAAAGGTTCAACCTGGGAGTTGAATGCACACATCACAAAGAAGTTTCTGAGAATGCTTCTGTCTAGTTTTAATGCGAAGATATTCCCTTTTCCATCATAACCTTCAAAGTGCTCCAAATGTCCATTTGCAGATTTTACAAACAGAGTGTTTCCAGACTGCTCTATCAAAAGAAATTTTCAACTATGGGAGTAGAATGCACACAACACAAATTCGTTTCTGAGAATGCTTCTGTCTAGTTTTTATGTGAAGATATTTCCTTTTCTACCATAGGCATAAATGTGCTCCAAATATCCCAAATATCCACTGGCAGATTCTAAAAAAAGAGTGTTTCAAAACTGCTCTATCAAAAGGAAGGTTCAATTCTGTGAGTTGAATGCACACATCACAAAGTAGTTTCTGAGAATGCTTCTGCCTAATTTTTAGATTTAAGATATTCCCATTTCCAAAGAAGGCTTCAATTTGCTCCAAATATCCACTTGCAGATTGTACAAAAAGAGGGTTTCAAAACTGCTCTATCAAAAGGAAGGTTCAACCCTGTGAGATGAATGCACACATCACAAAGTGGTTTCAGAGAATGCTTCTTTCTAGTTTTTAGGTGACGATATTCCCGTTTCCAATGTAGCACTCAAAGAGCTCCAAATATCCTCCTGCAGATTGTGCAAAAAGGGTGTTTCAAAACTGCTCTATCAAAAAGAAGCTTCAACTCTGTGAGTTGAATGCACAAATCACAATGAAGTTTCTGGGAATACTTCTGTCTATTTTTATGTGACGATACTCCCGTTTCCAAAGAAGGCTTCAAAGCACTCCAAATATCCACCTGCAGATTATAAAGGAAGAGTTTTTCAAAACTGCTCAATCCAAAGGAAGGTTCAGCTCCGTGAGTTCAATGCCCACATCACAAAGAAGTTTCTGAGAATGCTTCTGTCTGGTTTCAAGGGGAAGATATTCCCGTTTCCAACGAAGGCTTCAAAGCGCTCCAAATATCCACTTGCAGAGTCTACAAAAAGACTGTTTCAAAACTGCTCTATAAAAGTAAGGTTGTACTTTGTTAGTGGAATGCACCCATCAAAATGAAGTTTCTGAGAACACTTCTGTCTACTTTTCATGTGAAGATATTTCCTTATCCACAATAGTCCCCAAAGCCCTCAAAATGCCCACTTGCAGATCCCTCAAAAAGACGGTTTCAAAACTGCAGTATCAGTAGGAAATTTCAACTATGTGAGTAGAATGCACACATCACAAAGTAGTTTCTGAGAATGCTTCTGTCTAGTTTTTATATGAAGATATTTCCTTTTCGACCTTAAGCCTCAAAGTGCTGCAATTATGCACTTTCAGATTCTTCAAAAAGAGGGTTTCAAAACTGCTCTGGCAAAAGGAAGTTTCAACGCTGTGAGTTGAATGCACACATCACAAAGAAGTTTCTGAGAATGCTTCTGTCTAATTTTTATGTGAAGATAATCCTGTTTCCCAAGAAGGCTTCAAAGCACCCTAATATCCGCCTCCAGATTCTACAGAAAGAGTGTTTCAAAACTGCTCTATCAAAAGGAAGGTTCAACTCTGTGAGTTGAATGCAGACATCATAAAGGAGTTTCTGAGAATGCTTCTGTCTTGTTTTAATGTGAAGATATTTCCTTTTCAACCGATAGCCTAAAAGAGCTCCAAATGTCCAACTGCAGATTTTTTAAAAAGAATGTTTCAAAACTGCACTATCAAAAGAAAGGTTCAGCTCTGTGAGTTGAATGCACACATCTCAAAGAAGTTTCTGAGAATGGTTCTGTCTAGTTTTTATGTGAAGATATTCGCGATTCCAATGAAGTCTTCAAAGCGCTCCAAATATCTAAATGCGGATCCTACAAAAAGAGTGATTCAAAACTGGTCTATAAAAAGGAAGGTTCAGCTCTGTGAGTTGAACGCACACATCACAGAAAGTTTCTGAGAATGCTTCCATTTA
The DNA here is from genome assembly GCF_000001405.40 of Homo sapiens. NCBI lineage: Eukaryota > Metazoa > Chordata > Mammalia > Primates > Hominidae > Homo > Homo sapiens. The sequence goes on along the minus strand of NC_000007.14, from coordinate 61,481,009 downwards.
GTTTTTAGGTGAAGATGTTACCTTTTCAACCACAGCCTTCAAGACGCTCCAAATGTCCACTTGCAGATTCTACAAGAAGATTGTTTCCAGGCTGCTCTATCAAAAGAAATGTTCAACTATGGGAGTAGAATACACACATCACAAAGTCGTTTCTGAGAATGCTTCTGTCTAGTTTTTACGTGAAGATACTTCCTTTTCTACCAGAGGCCTGAAAGCGCTCCAAATATCCAATTGCAGATTCTACAAGAAGAGTGTTTCAAAACTTCTCTATCAAAAGTAAGGGTCTGCTTTGTGAGTTGAATGTACACATCAAAATGAAGTTTCTGATTATACTTCTGTCTACTTCTTATGGGAAGATATTTCCTTATCCGCAATGGTCCTCAAAGCCCTCGAAATGCCCACTTGAAGATTCTTCGGAAAGACGGTTTCAAAACTGCTCTATCAAAAGAAAGTTTCAACTTTGTGTGTAGAATGCACACATCACAAAGTCGTTTCTGAGAATGCTTCTGTCTAGTTTTTATATGAAGATATTTCCATTTCTACCATAAGCCTCAAAGCACTGCACATATGAACTGGCAGATTCTTCAAAAAGAGTGTTTCAAAACTGCTCTTTCAAAACTGTTCTATCAACTCTGTGAGTTGAGTGGACACATCACAAAGACGTTCCTGAGAACGCTTCTGTCTAGGTTTTAGGTGAAGATATTCTCGTTTCCAAAGAATGCTTCAAAGAGTACTTAAATATCCGCCTGCAGATTCTACAAAAGGAGTGTTTCAAAACTGCTCTAACAAAAGAAAGGTTCAACCTGGGAGTTGAATGCACACATCACAAAGAAGTTTCTGAGAATGCTTCTGTCTAGTTTTAATGCGAAGATATTCCCTCCTCCACCATAACCTTCAAAGCGCTCCAAATGTCCATTTGCAGATTTTACAAACAGAGTGTTTCCAGACTGCTCTACCAAAAGAAATTTTCAACTATGGGAGTAGAATGCACACATCACAAATTCGTTTCTGAGAATGCTTCTGTCTAGTTTTTATGTGAAGATATTTCCTTTTCTACCATAGGCATAAATGTGCTCCAAATATCCACTGGCAGATTCTAAAAAAAGAGTGTTTCAAAACTGCTCTATCAAAAGGAAGGTTCAATTCTGTGAGTTGAATGCACACATCACAAAGTAGTTTCTGAGAATGCTTCTGCCTAATTTTTAGATTTAAGATTTCCCATTTCCAAAGAAGGCTTCAATTTGCTCCAAATATCCACTTGCAGATTGTACAAAAAGAGGGTTTCAAAACTGCTCTATCAAAAGGAAGGTTCAACTCTGTGAGATGAATGCACACATCACAAAGTGGTTTCAGAGAATGCTTCTTTCTAGTTTTCAGGTGACGATATTCCCTTTTCCAATGTAGCACTCAAAGAGCTCCAAATATCCTCCTGCAGATTGTGCAAAAAGGGTGTTTCAAAACTGCTCTATCAAAAAGAAGCTTCAACTCTGTGAGTTGAATGCACAAATCACAAAGAAGTTTCTGGGAATACTTCTGTCTATTTTTATGTGACGATACTCCCGTTTCCAAAGAAGGCTTCAAAGCACTCCAAATATCCACCTGCAGATTATAAAGGAAGAGTTTTTCAAAACTGCTCAATCCAAAGGAAGGTTCAGCTCCGTGAGTTCAATGCCCACATCACAAAGAAGTTTCTGAGAATGCTTCTGTCTAGTTTCAATGGGAAGATATTCCCGTTTCAAACGAAGGCTTCAAAGCGCTCCAAATATCCACTTGCAGAGTCTACAAAAAGACTGTTTCAAAACTGCTCTATAAAAGTAAGGTTGTACTTTGTTAGTTGAATGCACCCATCAAAATGAAGTTTCTGAGAACACTTCTGTCTACTTTTCATGTGAAGATATTTCCTTATCCACGATAGTCCCCAAAGCCCTCAAAATGCCCACTCGAACATTCCTCAAAAAGACGGTTTCAATACTGCAGTATCAGAAGGAAATTTCAACTATGTGAGTAGAATGCACACATCACAAAGTAGTTTCTGAGAATGCTTCTGTCTAGTTTTTATATGAAGATATATCCTTTTCTACCTTAAGCCTCAAAGTGCTGCAATTATGCACTTTCAGATTCTTCAAAAAGAGGGTTTCAAAACTGCTCTAGCAAAAGGAAGTTTCAACGCTGTGAGTTGAATGCACACATCACAAAGAAGTTTCTGAGAATGCTTCTGTCTAATTTTTATGTGAAGATAATCCTGTTTCCCAAGAAGGCTTCAAAGCACCCTAATATCCTCCTCCAGATTCTACAGAAAGAGTGTTTCAAAACTGCTCTATCAAAAGGAAGGTTCAACTCTGTGAGTTGAATGCAGACATCATAAAGGAGTTTCGGAGAATGCTTCTGTCTTGTTTTAATGTGAAGATACTTCCTTTTCAACCGATAGCCTAAAAGAGCTCCAAATGTCCAATTGCAGATTTTTTAAAAAGAATGTTTCAAAACTGCACTATCAAAAGAAAGGTTCAGCTCTGTGAGTTGAATGCACACATCTCAAAGGAGTTTCTGAGAATGGTTCTGTCTAGTTTTTATGTGAAGGTATTCGCGATTCCAATGAAGTCTTCAAAGCGCTCCAAATATCTAAATGCGGATTCTACAAAAAGAGTGATTCAAAACTGGTCTATGAAAAGGAAGGTTCAGCTCTGTGAGTTGAACGCACACATCACAAAAAGTTTCGGACAATGCTTCCATTTAGTTTTTAGGTGAAGATATTACCTTTTCAACCACAGCCTTCGAAACGCTCCAAATGTCCACTTGCAGATTCTACAAGAAGATTGTTTCCAGGCGGCTCTATCAAAAGAAATGTTCAACTATGGGAGTAGAATACACACATCACAAAGTCGTTTCTGAGAATGCTTCTGTCTAGTTTTTATGTGAAGATATTTCCTTTTCTACCAGAGGCCTGAAAGCGCTCCAAATATCCAATTGCAGATTCTACAGAAAGAGTGTTTCAAAACTTCTCTATCAAAAGTAAGGGTCTGCTTTGTGAGTTGAATGTACACATCAAAATGAAGTTTCTGATTATACTTCTGTCTACTTCTTATGGGAAGATATTTCCTTATCCGCAATGGTCCTCAAAGCCCTCGAAATGCCCACTTGAAGATTCTTCGGAAAGACTGTTTCAAAACTGCTCTATCAAAAGAAAGTTTCAACTTTGTGTGTAGAATGCACACATCACAATGTCGTTTCTGAGAATGCTTCTGTCTAGTTTTTATATGAAGATATTTCCTTTTCTACCATAAGCCTCAAAGCACTGCACATATGAACGGGCAGATTCTTTAAAAAGAGTGTTTCAAAACTGCTCTATCAAAACTGTCCTATCAACTCTGTGAGATGAATGGACACATCACAAAGATGTTTCTGAGAATGCTTCTGTCTAGGTTTTAGGTGAAGATATTCTCGTTTCCAAAGAATGCTTCAAATAGTACTTAAATATCCGCCTGCAGATTCTACAAAAGGAGTGTTTCAAAACTGCTCTAACAAAAGAAAGGTTCAACCTGGGAGTTGAATGCACACATCACAAAGAAGTTTCTGAGAATGCTTCTGTCTAGTTTTAATGCGAAGATATTCCCTTTTCCATCATAACCTTCAAAGCGCTCCAAATGTCCATTTGCAGATTTTAGAAACAGAGTGTTTCCAGACTGCTCTATCAAAAGAAATTTTCAACTATGGGAGTAGAATGCACACAACACAAATTCGTTTCTGAGAATGCTTCTGTCTAGTTTTTATGTGAAGATATTTCCTTTTCTACCACAGGCATAAATGTGCTCCAAATATCCACTTGCAGATTCTGAAAAAAGAGTGTTTCAAAACTGCTGTATCAAAAGGAAGGTTCAATTCTGTGAGTTGAATGCACACATCACAAAGTAGTTTCTGAGAATGCTTCTGCCTAATTTTTAGATTTAAGATATTCCCATTTCCAAAGAAGGCTTCAATTTGCTCCAAATATCCACTTGCAGATTGTACAAAAAGAGGGTTTCAAAACTGCTCTATCAAAAGGAAGGTTCAACTCTGTGAGATGAATGCACACATCACAAAGTGGTTTCAGAGAATGCTTGTTTCTAGTTTTCAGGTGACGATATTCCCGTTTCCAATGTAGCACTCAAAGAGCTCCAAATATCCTCCTGCAGATTGTGCAAAAAGGGTGTTTCAAAACTGCTCTATCAAAAAGAAGCTTCAACTCTGTAAGTTGAATGCACAAATCACAAAGAAGTTTCTGGGAATACTTCTGTCTATTTTTATGTGACGATACTCCCGTTTCCAAAGAAGGCTTCAAAGCACTCCAAATATCCACCTGCAGATTATAAAGGAAGAGTTTTTCAAAACTGCTCAATCCAAAGGAAGGTTCAGCTCCGTGAGTTCAATGCCCACATCACAAAGAAGTTTCTGAGAATGCTTCTGTCTAGTTTCAAGGGGAAGATATTCCCGTTTCCAACGAAGGCTTCAAAGCGCTCCAAATATCCACTTGCAGAGTCTACAAAAAGACTGTTTCAAAACTGCTCTATAAAAGTAAGGTTGTACTTTGTTAGTTGAATGCACCCATCAAAATGAAGTTTCTGAGAACACTTCTGTCTACTTTTCATGTGAAGATATTTCCTTATCCACAATAGTCCCCAAAGCCCTCAAAATGCCCACTTGAAGATCCCTCAAAAAGACTGTTTCAAAACTGCAGCATCAGAAGGAAATTTCAACTATGTGAGTAGAATGCACACATCACAAAGTAGTTTCTGAGAATGCTTCTGTCTAGTTTTTATATGAAGATATTTCCTTTTCGACCTTAAGCCTCAAAGTGCTGCAATTATGCACTTTCAGATTCTTCAAAAAGAGGGTTTCAAAACTGCTCTGGCAAAAGGAAGTTTCAACGCTGTGAGTTGAATGCACACATCACAAAGAAGTTTCTGAGAATGCTTCTGTCTAATTTTTATGTGAAGATAATCCTGTTTCCCAAGAAGGCTTCAAAGCACCCTAATATCCGCCTCCAGATTCTACAGAAAGAGTGTTTCAAAACTGCTCTATCAAAAGGAAGGTTCAACTCTGTGAGTTGAATGCAGACATCATAAAGGAGTTTCTGAGAATGCTTCTGTCTTGTTTTAATGTGAAGATATTTCCTTTTCAACCGATAGCCTAAAAGAGCTCCAAATGTCCAACTGCAGATTTTTTAAAAAGAATGTTTCAAAACTGCACTATCAAAAGAAAGGTTCAGCTCTGTGAGTTGAATGCACACATCTCAAAGAAGTTTCTGAGAATGGTTCTGTCTAGTTTTTATGTGAAGGTATTCGCGATTCCGATGAAGTCTTCAAAGCGCTGCAAATATCTAAATGCGGATTCTACAAAAAGAGTGATTCAAAACTGGTCTATGAAAAGGAAGGTTCAGCTCTGTGAGTTGAACGCACACATCACAAAAAGTTTCGGACAATGCTTCCATTTAGTTTTTAGGTGAAGATATTACCTTTTCAACCACAGCCTTCGAAACGCTCCAAATGTCCACTTGCAGATTCTACAAGAAGATTGTTTCCAGGCGGCTCTATCAAAAGAAATGTTCAACTATGGGAGTAGAATACACACATCACAAAGTCGTTTCTGAGAATGCTTCTGTCTAGTTTTTATGTGAAGATATTTCCTTTTCTACCAGAGGCCTGAAAGCGCTCCAAACATCCAATTGCAGATTCTACAAAAAGAGTGTTTCAAAACTTCTCTATCAAAAGTTAAGGTCTGCTTTGTGAGTTGAATGTACACATCAAAATGAAGTTTCTGATTATACTTCTGTCTACTTCTTATGGGAAGATATTTCCTTATCCGCAATGGTCCTCAAAGCCCTCGAAATGCCCACTTGAAGATTCTTCGGAAAGACGATTTCAAAACTACTCTATCAAAAGAAAGTTTCAACTTTGTGTGTAGAATGCACACATCACAAAGTCGTTTCTGAGAATGCTTCTGTCTAGTTTTTATATGAAGATATTTCCTTTTCTACCATAAGCCTCAAAGCACTGCACATATGAACAGGCAGATCCTTTAAAAAGAGTGTATCAAAACTGCTCTATCAAAACTGTTCTATCAACTCTGTGAGATGAATGGACACATCACAAAGATGTTTCTGAGAATGCTTCTGTCTAGGTTTTAGGTGAAGATATTCTCGTTTCCAAAGAATGCTTCAAAGAGTACTTAAATATCCGCCTGCAGATTCTACAAAAGGAGTGTTTCAAAACTGCTCTAACAAAAGAAAGATTCAACCTGGGAGTTGAATGCACACATCACAAAGAAGTTTCTGAGAATGCTTCTGTCTAGTTTTAATGCGAAGATATTCCCTCTTCCACCATAACCTTCAAAGCGCTCCAAATGTCCATTTGCAGATTTTACAAACAGAGTGTTTCCAGACTGCTCTACCAAAAGAAATTTTCAACTATGGGAGTAGAATGCACACATCACAAATTCGTTTCTGAGAATGCTTCTGTCTAGTTTTTATGTGAAGATATTTCCTTTTCTACCACAGGCATAAATGTGCTCCAAATATCCACTTGCAGATTCTAAACAAAGAGTGTTTCAAAACTGCTGTATCAAAAGGAAGGTTCAATTCTGTGAGTTGAATGCACACATCACAAAGTAGTTTCTGAGAATGCTTCTGCCTAATTTTTAGATTTAAGATATTCCCATTTCCAAGGAAGGCTTCAATTTGCTCCAAATATCCACTTGCAGATTGTACAAAAAGAGGGTTTCAAAACTGCTCTATCAAAAGGAAGGTTCAAATCTGTGAGATGAATGCACACATCACAAAGTGGTTTCAGAGAATGCTTCTTTCTAGTTTTCAGGTGACGATATTCCCGTTTCCAATGTAGCACTCAAAGAGCTCCAAATATCCTCCTGCAGATTGTGCAAAAAGGGTGTTTCAAAACTGCTCTATCAAAAAGAAGCTTCAACTCTGTGAGTTGAATGCACAAATCACAAAGAAGTTTCTGGGAATACTTCTGTCTATTTTTATGTGACGATACTCCCGTTTCCAAAGAAGGCTTCAAAGCACTCCAAATATCCACCTGCAGATTATAAAGGAAGAGTTTTTCTAAACTGCTCAATCCAAAGGAAGGTTCAGCTCCGTGAGTTCAATGCCCACATCACAAAGAAGTTTCTGAGAATGCTTCTGTCTAGTTTCAAGGGGAAGATATTCCCGTTTCCAACGAAGGCTTCAAAGCGCTCCAAATATCCACTTGCAGAGTCTACAAAAAGACTGTTTCAAAACTGCTCTATAAAAGTAAGGTTGTACTTTGTTAGTTGAATGCACCCATCAAAATGAAGTTTCTGAGAACACTTCTGTCTACTTTTCATGTGAAGATATTTCCTTATCCACGATAGTCCCCAAAGCCCTCAAAATGCCCACTGGAAGATTCCTCAAAAAGACGGTTTCAAAACTGCAGTATCAGAAGGAAATTTCAACTATGTGAGTAGAATGCACACATCACAAAGTAGTTTCTGAGAATGCTTCTGTCTAGTTTTTATATGAAGATATTTCCTTTTCTACCTTAAGCCTCAAAGTGCTGCAATTATGCACTTTCAGATTCTTCAAAAAGAGGGTTTCAAAACTGCTCTAGCAAAAGGAAGTTTCAACGCTGTGAGTTGAATGCACACATCACAAAGAAGTTTCTGAGAATGCTTCTGTCTAATTTTTATGTGAAGATAATCCTGTTTCCCAAGAAGGCTTCAAAGCACCCTTATATCCGCCTCCAGATTCTACAGAAAGAGTGTTTCAAAACTGCTCTATGAAAAGGAAGGTTCAACTCTGTGAGTTGAATGCAGACATCATAAAGGAGTTTCTGAGAATGCTTCTGTCTTGTTTTAATGTGAAGATACTTCCTTTTCAACCGATAGCCTAAAAGAGCTCCAAATGTCCAACTGCAGATTTTTTAAAAAGAATGTTTCAAAACTGCACTATCAAAAGAAAGGTTCAGCTCTGTGAGTTGAATGCACACATCTCAAAGGAGTTTCTGAGAATGGTTCTGTCTAGTTTTTATGTGAAGGTATTCGCGATTCCAATGAAGTCTTCAAAGCGCTCCAAATATCTAAATGCGGATTCTACAAAAAGAGTGATTCAAAACTGGTCTAAGAAAAGGAAGGTTCAGCTCTGTGAGTTGAACGCACACATCACAAAAAGTTTCGGAGAATGCTTCCATTTAGTTTTTAGGTGAAGATATTACCTTTTCAACCACAGCCTTCGAAACGCTCCAAATGTCCACTTGCAGATTCTACAAGAAGATTGTTTCCAGGCGGCTCTATCAAAAGAAATGTTCAACTATGGGAGTAGAATACACCCATCACAAAGTCGTTTCTGAGAATGCTTCTGTCTAGTTTTTACGTGAAGATACTTCCTTTTCTACCAGAGGCCTGAAAGCACTCCAAATATCCAATTGCAGATTCTACAAGAAGAGTGTTTCAAAACTTCTCTATCAAAAGTAAGGGTCTGCTTTGTGAGTTGAATGTACACATCAAAATGAAGTTTCTGATTATACTTCTGTCTACTTCTTATGTGACGATATTTCCTTATCTGCAATGGTCCTCAAAGCCCTCGAAATGCCCACTTGAAGATTCTTCGGAAAGACTGTTTCAAAACTGCTCTATCAAAAGAAAGTTTCAACTTTGTGTGTAGAATGCACACATCACAAAGTCGTTTCTGAGAATGCTTCTGTCTACTTTTTATATGAAGATATTTCCTTTTCTACCATAAGCCTCAAAGCACTGCACATATGAATTGGCAGATTCTTTAAAAAGAGTGTTTCAAAACTGCTCTATCAAAACTGTTCTATCAACTCTGTGAGATGAATGGACACATCACAAAGATGTTTCTGAGAATGCTTCTGTCTAGGTTTTAGGTGAAGATATTCTCGTTTCCAAAGAATGCTTCAAAGAGTACTTAAATATCCGCCTGCAGATTCTACAGAAGGAGTGTTTCAAAACTGCTCTAACAAAAGAAAGGTTCAACCTGGGAGTTGAATGCACACATCACAAAGAAGTTTCTGAGAATGCTTCTGTCTAGTTTTAAGGCGAAGATATTCCCTCTTCCACCATAACCTTCAAAGCGCTCCAAATGTCCATTTGCAGATTTTACAAACAGAGTGTTTCCAGACTGCTCTACCAAAAGAAATTTTCAACTATGGGAGTAGAATGCACACATCACAAATTCGTTTCTGAGAATGCTTCTGTCTAGTTTTTATGTGAAGATATTTCCTTTTCTACCATAGGCATAAACGTGCTCCAAATATCCACTGGCAGATTCTAAAAAAAGAGTGTTTCAAAACTGCTCTATCAAAAGGAAGGTTCAATTCTGTGAGTTGAATGCACACATCACAAAGTAGTTTCTGAGAATGCTTCTGCCTAATTTTTAGTTTTAAGATATTCCCATTTCCAAAGAAGGCTTCAATTTGCTCCAAATATCCACTTGCAGATTGTACAAAAAGAGGGTTTCAAAACGGCTCTATCAACAGGAAGGTTCAACTCTGTGAGATGAATGCACACATCACAAAGTGGTTTCAGAGAATGTTTCTTTCTAGTTTTTAGGTGACGATATTCCCGTTTCCAATGTAGCACTCAAAGAGCTCCAAATATCCTCCTGCAGATTGTGCAAAAAGGGTGTTTCAAAACTGCTCTATCAAAAAGAAGCTTCAACTCTGTGAGTTGAATGCACAAATCACAAAGAAGTTTCTGGGAATACTTCTGTCTATTTTTATGTGACGATACTCCCGTTTCCAAAGAAGGCTTCAAAGCACTCCAAATATCCACCTGCAGATTATAAAGGAAGAGTTTTTCTAAACTGCTCAATCCAAAGGAAGGTTCAGCTCCGTGAGTTCAATGCCCACATCACAAAGAAGTTTCTGAGAATGCTTCTGTCTAGTTTCAAGGGGAAGATATTCCCGTTTCCAACGAAGGCTTCAAAGCGCTCCAAATATCCACTTGCAGAGTCTACAAAAAGACTGTTTCAAAACTGCTCAATAAAAGTAAGCTTGTACCTTGTTAGTTGAATGCACCCATCAAAATGAAGTTTCTGAGAACACTTCTGTCTACTTTTCATGTGAAGATATTTCCTTATCCACAATAGTCCCCAAAGCCCTCAAAATGACCACTTGAAGATCCCTCAAAAAGACGGTTTCAAAACTGCAGTATCAGAAGGAAATTTCAACTATGTGAGTAGAATGCACACATCACAAAGTAGTTTCTGAGAATGCTTCTGTCTAGTTTTTATATGAAGATATTTCCTTTTCTACCTTAAGCCTCAAAGTGCTGCAATTATGCACTTTCAGATACTTCAAAAAGAGGGTTTCAAAACTGCTCTAGCAAAAGGAAGTTTCAACGCTGTGAGTTGAATGCACACATCACAAAGAAGTTTCTGAGAATGCTTCTGTCTAATTTTTATGTGAAGATAATCCTGTTTCCCAAGAAGGCTTCAAAGCACCCTAATATCCGCCTCCAGATTCTACAGAAAGAGTGTTTCAAAACTGCTCTATGGAAAGGAAGGTTCAACTCTGTGAGTTGAATGCAGACATCATAAAGGAGTTTCTGAGAATGCTTCTGTCTTCTTTTAATGTGAAGATATTTCCTTTTCAACCGATAGCCTAAAAGAGCTCCAAATGTCCAACTGCAGATATTTTAAAAAGAATGTTTCAAAACTGCACTATCAAAAGAAAGGTTCAGCTCTGTGAGTTGAATGCACACATCTCAAAGAAGTTTCTGAGAATGGTTCTGTCTAGTTTTTATGTGAAGGTATTCGCGATTCCAATGAAGTCTTCAAAGCGCTCCAAATATCTAAATGCGGATTCTAGAAAAAGAGTGATTCAAAACTGGTCTAAGAAAAGGAAGGTTCAGCTCTGTGAGTTGAACGCACACATCACAAAAAGTTTCGGAGAATGCTTCCATTTAGTTTTTAGGTGAAGATATTACCTTTTCAACCACAGCCTTCAAAACGCTCCAAATGTCCACTTGCAGATTCTACAAGAAGATTGTTTCCAGGCTGCTCTATCAAAAGAAATGTTCAACTATGGGAGTAGAATACACACATCACAAAGTCGTTTCTGAGAATGCTTCTGTCTAGTTTTTATGTGAAGATATTTCCTTTTCTACCAGAGGCCTGAAAGCGCTCCAAATATCCAATTGCAGATTCTACAAAAAGAGTGTTTCAAAACTTCTCTATCAAAAGTAAGGGTCTGCTTTGTGAGTTGAATGTACACATCAAAATGAAGTTTCTGATTATACTTCTGTCTACTTCTTATGGGAAGATATTTCCTTATCCGCAATGGTCCTCAAAGCCCTCGAAATGCCCACTTGAAGATTCTTCGGAAAGACTGTTTCAAAACTGCTCTATCAAAAGAAAGTTTCCACTTTGTGTGTAGAATGCACACATCACAAAGTCGTTTCTGAGAATGCTTCTGTCTAGTTTTTATAGGAAGATATTTCCTTTTCTACCATAAGCCTCAAAGCACTGCACATATGAACTGGCAGATTCTTTAAAAAGAGTGTTTCAAATCTGCTCTATCAAAACTGTTCTATCAACTCTGTGAGATGAATGGACACATCACAAAGATGTTTCTGAGAATGCTTCTGTCTAGGTTTTAGGTGAAGATATTCTCGTTTCCAAAGAATGCTTCAAAGAGTACTTAAATATCCGCCTGCAGATTCTACAAAAGGAGTGTTTCAAAACTGCTCTAAGAAAAGAAAGGTTCAACCTGGGAGTTGAATGCACACATCACAAAGAAGTTTCTGAGAATGCTTCTGTCTAGTTTTAATGCGAAGATATTCCCTTTTCCACCATAACCTTCAAAGCGCTCCAAATGTCCATTTGCAGATTTTACAATCAGAGTGTTTCCAGACTGCTCTATCGAAAGAAATTTTCAACTATGGGAGTAGAATGCACACATCACAAATTCGTTTCTGAGAATGCTTCTGTCTAGTTTTTATGTGAAGATATTTCCTTTTCTACCATAGGCATAAACGTGCTCCAAATATCCACTGGCAGATTCTAAAAAAAGAGTGTTTCAAAACTGCTCTATCAAAAGGAAGGTTCAATTCTGTGAGTTGAATGCACACATCACAAAGTAGTTTCTGAGAATGCTTCTGCCTAATTTTTAATTTTAAGATATTCCCATTTCCAAAGAAGACTTCAATTTGCTCCAAATATCCACTTGCAGATTGTACAAAAAGAGGGTTTCAAAACTGCTCTATCAAAAGGAAGGTTCAACTCTGTGAGATGAATGCACACATCACAAAGTGGTTTCAGAGAATGCTTGTTTCTAGTTTTCAGGTGACGATATTCCCGTTTCCAATGTAGCACTCAAAGAGCTCCAAATATCCTCCTGCAGATTGTGCAAAAAGGGTGTTTCAAAACTGCTCTATCAAAAAGAAGCTTCAACTCTGTGAGTTGAATGCACAAATCACAAAGAAGTTTCTGGGAATACTTCTGTCTATTTTTATGTGACGATACTCCCGTTTCCAAAGAAGGCTTCAAAGCACTCCAAATATCCACCTGCAGATTATAAAGGAAGAGTTTTTCAAAACTGCTCAATCCAAAGGAAGGTTCAGCTCCGTGAGTTCAATGCCCACATCACAAAGAAGTTTCTGAGAATGCTTCTGTCTAGTTTCAAGGGGAAGATATTCCCGTTTCCAACGAAGGCTTCAAAGCACTCCAAATATCCACTTGCAGAGTCTACAAAAAGACTGTTTCAAAACTGCTCTATAAAAGTAAGGTTGTACCTTGTTAGTTGAATGCACCCATCAAAATGAAGTTTCTGAGAACACTTCTGTCTACTTTTCATGTGAAGATATTTCCTTATCCACAATAGTCCCCAAAGCCCTCAAAATGCCCACTGGAAGATTCCTCAAAAAGACGGTTTCAAACCTGCAGTATCAGAAGGAAATTTCAACTATGTGAGTAGAATGCACACATCACAAAGTAGTTTCTGAGAATGCTTCTGTCTAGTTTTTATATGAAGATATTTGCTTTTCTACCTTAAGCCTCAAAGTGCTGCAATTATGCACTTTCAGATTCTTCAAAAAGAGGGTTTCAAAACTGCTCTAGCAAAAGGAAGTTTCAACGCTGTGAGTTGAATACACACATCACAAAGAAGTTTCTGAGAATGCTTCTGTCTAATTTTTATGTGAAGATAATCCTGTTTCCCAAGAAGGCTTCAAAGCACCCTAATATCCGCCTCCAGATTCTACAGAAAGAGTGTTTCAAAACTGCTCTATCAAAAGTAAGGTTCAACTCTGTGAGTTGAATGCAGACATCATAAAGGAGTTTCTGAGAATGCTTCTGTCTTGTTTTAATGTGAAGATATTTCCTTTTCAACCGATAGCCTAAAAGAGCTCCAAATGTCCAACTGCAGATTTTTTAAAAAGAATGTTTCAAAACTGCACTATCAAAAGAAAGGTTCAGCTCTGTGAGTTGAATGCACACATCTCAAAGAAGTTTCTGAGAATGGTTCTGTCTAGTTTTTATGTGAAGGTATTCGCGATTCCAATGAAGTCTTCAAAGCGCTCCAAATATCTAAATGCGGATTCTACAAAAAGAGTGATTCAAAACTGGTCTATGAAAAGGAAGGTTCAGCTCTGTGAGTTGAACGCACACATCACAAAAAGTTTCGGACAATGCTTCCATTTAGTTTGTGGGTGAAGATATTACCTTTTCAACCACAGCCTTCGAAACGCTCCAAATGTCCACTTGCAGATTCTACAAGAAGATTGTTTCCAGGCGGCTCTATCAAAAGAAATGTTCAACTATGGGAGTAGAATACACACATCACAAAGTCGTTTCTGAGAACGCTTCTGTCTAGTTTTTATGTGAAGATATTTCCTTTTCTACCAGAGGCCTGAAAGCGCTCCAAATATCCAATTGCAGATTCTACAAAAAGAGTGTTTCAAAACTTCTCTATCAAAAGTAAGGGTCTGCTTTGTGAGTTGAATGTACACATCAAAATGAAGTTTCTGATTATTCTTCTGTCTACTTCTTATGGGAAGATATTTCCTTATCCGCAATGGTCCTCAAAGCCCTCGAAATGCCCACTTGAAGATTCTTCGGAAAGACTGTTTCAAAACTGCTCTATCAAAAGAAAGTTTCAACTTTGTGTGTAGAATGCACACATCACAAAGTCGTTTCTGAGAATGCTTCTGTCTAGTTTTTATATGAAGATATTTCCTTTTCTACCATAAGCCGCAAAGCACTGCACATATGAACTGGCAGATTCTTCAAAAAGAGTGTTTCAAAACTGCTCTATCAAAACTGTTCTATCAACTCTGTGAGTTGAGTGGACACATCACAAAGACCTTTCTGAGAATGCTTCTGTCTAGGTTTTAGGTGAAGATATTCTCGTTTCCAAAGAATGCTTCAAAGAGTACTTAAATATCCGCCTGCAGATTCTACAAAAGGAGTGTTTCAAAACTGCTCTAACAAAAGAAAGGTTCAACCTGGGAGTTGAATGCACACATCACAAAGAAGTTTCTGAGAATGCTTCTGTCTAGTTTTAATGCGAAGATATTCCCTTTTCCATCATAACCTTCAAAGCGCTCCAAATGTCCATTTGCAGATTTTAGAAACAGAGTGTTTCCAGACTGCTCTATCAAAAGAAATTTTCAACTATGGGAGTAGAATGCACACATCACAAATTCGTTTCTGAGAATGCTTCTGTCTAGTTTTTATGTGAAGATATTTCCTTTTCTACCACAGGCATAAATGTGTTCCAAATATCCACTTGCAGATTCTAAACAAAGAGTGTTTCAAAACTGCTGTATCAAAAGGAAGGTTCAATTCTGTGAGTTGAATGCACACATCACAAAGTAGTTTCTGAGAATGCTTCTGCCTAATTTTTAGATTTAAGATATTCCCATTTCCAAAGAAGGCTTCAATTTGCTCCAAATATCCACTTGCAGATTGTACAAAAAGAGGGTTTCAAAACTGCTCTATCAAAAGGAAGGTTCAACTCTGTGAGATGAATGCACACATCACAAAGTGGTTTCAGAGAATGCTTCTTTCTAGTTTTTAGGTGACGATATTCCCGTTTCCAATGTAGCACTCAAAGAGCTCCAAATATCCTCCTGCAGATTGTGCAAAAAGGGTGTTTCAAAACTGCTCTATCAAAAAGAAGCTTCAACTCTGTGAGTTGAATGCACAAATCCAAAGAAGTTTCTGGGAATACTTCTGTCTATTTTTATGTGACGATACTCCCGTTTCCAAAGAAGGCTTCAAAGCACTCCAAATATCCACCTGCAGATTATAAAGGAAGAGTTTTTCAAAACTGCTCAATCCAAAGGAAGGTTCAGCTCCGTGAGTTCAATGCCCACATCACAAAGAAGTTTCTGAGAATGCTTCTGTCTAGTTTCAAGGGGAAGATATGCCCGTTGCCAACGAAGGCTTCAAAGCGCTCCAAATATCCACTTGCAGAGTCTACAAAAAGACTGTTTCAAAACTGCTCTATAAAAGTAAGGTTGTACTTTGTTAGTTGAATGCACCCATCAAAATGAAGTTTCTGAGAACACTTCTGTCTACTTTTCATGTGAAGCTATTTCCTTATCCACAATAGTCCCCAAAGCCCTCAAAATGCCCACTTGAAGATCCCTCAAAAAGACTGTTTCAAAACTGCAGTATCAGAAGGAAATTTCAACTATGTGAGTAGAATGCACACATCACAAAGTAGTTTCTGAGAATGCTTCTGTCTAGTTTTTATATGAAGATATTTCCTTTTTGACCTTAAGCCTCAAAGTGCTGCAATTATGCACTTTCAGATTCTTCAAAAAGAGGGTTTCAAAACTGCTCTGGCAAAAGGAAGTTTCAACGCTGTGAGTTGAATGCACACATCACAAAGAAGTTTCTGAGAATGCTTCTGTCTAATTTTTATGTGAAGATAATCCTGTTTCCCAAGAAGGCTTCAAAGCACCCTAACATCCGCCTCCATATTCTACAGAAAGAGTGTTTCAAAACTGCTCTATCAAAAGGAAGGTTCAACTCTGTGAGTTGAATGCAGACATCATAAAGGAGTTTCTGAGAATGCTTCTGTCTTGTTTTAATGTGAAGATATTTCCTTTTCAACCGATAGCCTAAAAGAGCTCCAAATGTCCAACTGCAGATTTTTTAAAAAGAATGTTTCAAAACTGCACTATCAAAAGAAAGGTTCAACTCTGTGAGTTGAATGCACACATCTCAAAGAAGTTTCTGAGAATGGTTCTGTCTAGTTTTTATGTGAAGGTATTCGCGATTCCAATGAAGTCTTCAAAGCGCTCCAAATATCTAAATGCGGATTCTACAAAAAGAGTGATTCAAAACTGGTCTATGAAAAGGAAGGTTCAGCTCTGTGAGTTGAACGCACACATCACAAAAAGTTTCCGACAATGCTTCCATTTAGTTTTTGGGTGAAGATATTACCTTTTCAACCACAGCCATCGAAACGCTCCAAATGTCCACTTGCAGATTCTACAAGAAGTTTGTTTCCAGGCGGCTCTATCAAAAGAAATGTTCAACTATGGGAGTAGAATACACACATCACAAAGTCGTTTCTGAGAATGCTTCTGTCTAGTTTTTATGTGAAGATATTTCCTTTTCTACCAGAGGCCTGAAAGCGCTCCAAACATCCCATTGCAGATTCTACAAAAAGAGTGTTTCAAAACTTCTCTATCAAAAGTAAGGGTCTGCTTTGTGAGTTGAATGTACACATCAAAATGAAGTTTCTGATTATAATTTCTGTCTACTTCTTATGGGAAGATATTTCCTTATCCGCAATGGTCCTCAAAGCCCTCGAAATGCCCACTTGAAGATTCTTCGGAAAGACGGTTTCAAAACTGCTCTATCAAAAGAAAGTTTCAACTTTGTGTGTAGAATGCACACATCACAAAGTCGTTTCTGAGAATGCTTCTGTCTAGTTTTTATATGAAGATATTTCCTTTTCTGCCATAAGCCTCAAAGCACTGCACATATGAACTGGCAGATTCTTTAAAAAGAGTGTTTCAAAACTGCTCTATCAAAACTGTTCTATCAACTCTGTGAGATGAATGGACACATCACAAAGATCTTTCTGAGAATGCTTCTGTCTAGGTTTTAGGTGAAGATATTCTCGTTTCCAAAGAATGCTTCAAAGAGTACTTAAATATCCGCCTGCAGATTCTACAAAAGGAGTGTTTCAAAACTGCTCTAACAAAAGAAAGGTTCAACCTGGGAGTTGAATGCACACATCACAAAGAAGTTTCTGAGAATGCTTCTGTCTAGTTTTAATGCGAAGATATTCCCTTTTCCATCATAACCTTCAAAGCGCTCCAAATGTCCATTTGCAGATTTTAGAAACAGAGTGTTTCCAGACTGCTCTATCAAAAGAAATTTTCAACTATGGGAGTAGAATGCACACAACACAAATTCGTTTCTGAGAATGCTTCTGTCTAGTTTTTATGTGAAGATATTTCCTTTTCTACCATAGGCATAAACGTGCTCCAAATATCCACTGGCAGATTCTAAAAAAAGAGTGTTTCAAAACTGCTCTATCAAAAGGAAGGTTCAATTCTGTGAGATGAATGCACACATCACAAAGTAGTTTCTGAGAATGCTTCTGCCTAATTTTTAATTTTAAGATATTCCCATTTCCAAAGAAGGCTTCAATTTGCTCCAAATATCCACTTGCAGATTGTACAAAAAGAGGGTTTCAAAACTGCTCTATCAAAAGGAAGGTTCAACTCTGTGAGATGAATGCACACATCACAAAGTGGTTTCAGAGAATGCTTGTTTCTAGTTTTCAGGTGACGATATTCCCGTTTCCAATGTAGCACTCAAAGAGCTCCAAATATCCTCCTGCAGATTGTGCAAAAAGGGTGTTTCAAAACTGCTCTATCAAAAAGAAGCTTCAACTCTGTAACTTGAATGCACAAATCACAAAGAAGTTTCTGGGAATACTTCTGTCTATTTTTATGTGACGATACTCCCGTTTCCAAAGAAGGCTTCAAATCACTCCAAATATCCACCTGCAGATTATAAAGGAAGAGTTTTTCAAAACTGCTCAATCCAAAGGAAGGTTCAGCTCCGTGAGTTCAATGCCCACATCACAAAGAAGTTTCTGAGAATGCTTCTGTCTGGTTTCAAGGGGAAGATATTCCCGTTTCCAACGAAGGCTTCAAAGCGCTCCAAATATCCACTTGCAGAGTCTACAAAAAGACTGTTTCACAACTGCTCTATAAAAGTAAGGTTGTACTTTGTTAGTGGAATGCACCCATCAAAATGAAGTTTCTGAGAACACTTCTGTCTACTTTTCATGTGAAGATATTTCCTTATCCACAATAGTCCCCAAAGCCCTCAAAATGCCCACTTGAAGATCCCTCAAAAAGACTGTTTCAAAACTGCAGTATCAGAAGGAAATTTCAACTATGTGAGTAGAATGCACACATCACAAAGTAGTTTCTGAGAATGCTTCTCTCTAGTTTTTATATGAAGATATTTCCTTTTCGACCTTAAGCCTCAAAGTGCTGCAATTATGCACTTTCAGATTCTTCAAAAAGAGGGTTTCAAAACTGCTCTGGCAAAAGGAAGTTTCAACGCTGTGAGCTGAATGCACACATCACAAAGAAGTTTCTGAGAATGCTTCTGTCTAATTTTTATGTGAAGATAATCCTGTTTCCCAAGAAGGCTTCAAAGCACCCTATTATCCGCCTCCAGATTCTACAGAAAGAGTGTTTCAAAACTGCTCTATCAAAAGGAAGGTTCAACTCTGTGAGTTGAATGCAGACATCATAAAGGAGTTTCTGAGAATGCTTCTGTCTTGTTTTAATGTGAAGATATTTCCTTTTCAACCGATAGCCTAAAAGAGCTCCAAATGTCCAACTGCAGATTTTTTAAAAAGAATGTTTCAAAACTGCACTATCAAAAGAAAGGTTCAGCTCTGTGAGTTGAATGCACACATCTCAAAGAAGTTTCTGAGAATGGTTCTGTCTAGTTTTAATGTGAAGGTATTCGCGATTCCAATGAAGTCTTCAAAGCGCTCCAAATATCTAAATGCGGATTCTACAAAAAGAGTGATTCAAAACTGGTCTATGAAAAGGAAGGTTCAGCTCTGTGAGTTGAACGCACACATCACAAAAATGTTTCGGACAATGCTTCCATTTAGTTTTTAGGTGAAGATATTACCTTTTCAACCACAGCCTTCGAAACGCTCCAAATGTCCACTTGCAGATTCTACAAGAAGTTTGTTTCCAGGCGGCTCTATCAAAAGAAATGTTCAACTATGGGAGTAGAATACACACATCACAAAGTCGTTTCTGAGAATGCTTCTGTTTAGTTTTTATGTGAAGATATTTCCTTTTCTACCAGAGGCCTGAAAGCGCACCAAATATCCAATTGCAGATTCTACAAAAAGAGTGTTTCAAAACTTCTCTATCAAAAGTAAGGGTCTGCTTTGTGAGTTGAATGTACACATCAAAATGAAGTTTCTGATCATACTTCTGTCTACTTCTTATGGGAAGATATTTCCTTATCCGCAATGGTCCTCAAAGCCCTCGAAATGCCCACTTGAAGTTTCTTCGGAAAGACTGTTTCAAAACTGCTCTATCAAAAGAAAGTTTCAACTTTGTGTGTAGAATGCACACATCACAAAGTCGTTTCTGAGAATGCTTCTGTCTAGTTTTGATATGAAGATATTTCCTTTTCTACCATAAGCCTCAAAGCACTGCACATATGAACTGGCAGATTTTTAAAAAGAGTGTTTCAAAACTGCTCTATCAAAACTGTTCTATCAACTCTGTGAGATGAATGGACACATCACAAAGATGTTTCTGAGAATGCTTCTGTCTAGGTTTTAGGTGAAGATATTCTCGTTTCCAAAGAATGCTTCAAAGAGTACTTAAATATCCGCCTGCAGATTCTACAAAAGGAGTGTTTCAAAACTGCTCTAACAAAAGAAAGGTTCAACCTGGGAGTTGAATGCACACATCACAAAGAAGTTTCTGAGAATGCTTCTGTCTAGTTTTAAGGCGAATATATTCCCTCTTCCACCATAACCTTCAAAGCGCTCCAAATGTCCATTTGCAGATTTTACAAACAGAGTGTTTCCAGACTGCTCTACCAAAAGAAATTTTCAACTATGGGAGTAGAATGCACACATCACAAATTCGTTTCTGAGAATGCTTCTGTCTAGTTTTTATGTGAAGATATTTCCTTTTCTACCATAGGCATAAACGTGCTCCAAATATCCACTGGCAGATTCTAAAAAAAGAGTGTTTCAAAACTGCTCTATCAAAAGGAAGGTTCAATTCTGTGAGTTGAATGCACACATCACAAAGTAGTTTCCTGAGAATGCTTCTGCCTAATTTTTAATTTTAAGATATTCCCATTTCCAAAGAAGGCTTCAATTTGCTCCAAATATCCACTTGCAGATTGTACAAAAAGAGGGTTTCAAAACTGCTCTATCAAAAGGAAGGTTCAACTCTGTGAGATGAATGCACACATTTCAAAGTGGTTTCAGAGAATGCTTCTTTCTAGTTTTTAGGTGACGATATTCCCGTTTCCAATGTAGCACTCAAAGAGCTCCAAATATCCTCCTGCAGATTGTGCAAAAAGGGTGTTTCAAAACTGCTCTATCAAAAAGAAGCTTCAACTCTGTGAGTTGAATGCACAAATCACAAAGAAGTTTCTGGGAATACTTCTGTCTATTTTTATGTGACGATACTCCCGTTTCCAAAGAAGGCTTCAAAGCACTCCAAATATCCACCTGCAGATTATAAAGGAAGAGTTTTTCAAAACTGCTCAATCCAAAGGAAGGTTCAGCTCCGTGAGTTCAATGCCCACATCACAAAGAAGTTTCTGAGAATGCTTCTGTCTAGTTTCAAGGGAAAGATATTCCCGTTTCCAACGAAGGCTTCAAAGCGCTCCAAATATCCACTTGCAGAGTCTACAAAAAGACTGTTTCAAAACTGCTCAATAAAAGTAAGGTTGTACCTTGTTAGTTGAATGCACCCATCAAAATGAAGTTTCTGAGAACACTTCTGTCTACTTTTCATGTGAAGATATTTCCTTATCCACAATAGTCCCCAAAGCCCTCAAAATGCCCACTGGAAGATTCCTCAAAAAGACGGTTTCAATACTGCAGTATCAGAAGGAAATTTCAACTATGTGAGTAGAATGCACACATCACAAAGTAGTTTCAGAGAATGCTTCTGTCTAGTTTTTATATGAAGATATTTCCTTTTCTACCTTAAGCCTCAAAGTGCTGCAATTATGCACTTTCAGATTCTTCAAAAAGAGGGTTTCAAAACTGCTCTGGCAAAAGGAAGTTTCAACGCTGTGAGTGGAATGCACACATCACAAAGAAGTTTCTGAGAATGCTTCTGTCTAATTTTTATGTGAAGATAATCCTGTTTCCCAAGAAGGCTTCAAAGCACCCTAATATCCTCCTCCAGATTCTACAGAAAGAGTGTTTCAAAACTGCTCTATCAAAAGGAAGGTTGAACTCTGTGAGTTGAATGCAGACATCATAAAGGAGTTTCTGAGAATGCTTCTGTCTTGTTTTAATGTGAAGATATTTCCTTTTCAACCGATAGCCTAAAAGAGCTCCAAATGTCCAACTGCAGATTTTTTAAAAAGAATGTTTCAAAACTGCACTATCAAAAGAAAGGTTCAGCTCTGTTAGTTGAATGCACACATCTCGAAGAAGTTTCTGAGAATGCTTCTGTCTAGTTTTTATGTGAAGATATTCGCGATTCCAATGAAGTCTTCAAAGCGCTCCAAATATCTAAATGCGGATTCTACAAAAAGAGTGATTCAAAACTGGTCTATGAAAAGGAAGGTTCAGCTCTGTGAGTTGAACGCACACATCACAAAAAGTTTCGGAGAATGCTTCCATTTAGTTTTTGGGTGAAGATATTACCTTTTGAACCACAGCCTTCAAAACGCTCCAAATGTCCACTTGCAGATTCTACAAGAAGATTGTTTCCAGGCGGCTCTATCAAAAGAAATGTTCAACTATGGGAGTAGAATACACACATCACAAAGTCGTTTCTGAGAATGCTTCTGTCTAGTTTTTATGTGAAGATATTTCCTTTTCTACCAGAGGCCTGAAAGCGCTCCAAATATCCAATTGCAGATTCTACAAAAAGAGTGTTTCAAAACTTCTCTATCAAAAGTAAGGGTCTGCTTTGTGAGTTGAATGTACACATCAAAATGAAGTTTCTGATTATACTTCTGTCTACTTCTTATGGGAAGATATTTCCTTATCCGCAATGGTCCTCAAAGCCCTCGAAATGCCCACTTGAAGATTCTTCGGAAAGACGGTTTCAAAACTGCTCTATCAAAAGAAAGTTTCAACTTTGCGTGTAGAATGCACACATCACAAAGTCGTTTCTGAGAATGCTTCTGTCTAGTTTTTATATGAAGATATTTCCTTTTCTACCATAAGCCTCAAAGCACTGCACATATGAACTGGCAGATTCTTTAAAAGGAGTGTTTCAAAACTGCTCTATCAAAACTGTTCTATCAACTCTGTGAGATGAATGGACACATCACAAAGATGTTTCTGAGAATGCTTCTGTCTAGGTTTTAGGTGAAGATATTCTCGTTTCCAAAGAATGCTTCAAATAGTACTTAAATATCCGCCTGCAGATTCTACAAAAGGAGTGTTTCAAAACTGCTCTAACAAAAGAAAGGTTCAACCTGGGGAGTTGAATGCACACATCACAAAGAAGTTTCTGAGAATGCTTCTGTCTAGTTTTAATGCGAAGATATTCCCTTCTCCACCATAACCTTCAAAGCGCTCCAAATGTCCATTTGCAGATTTTACAAACAGAGTGTTTCCAGACTGCTCTATCAAAAGAAATTTTCAACTATGGGAGTAGAATGCACACATCACAAATGCGTTTCTGAGAATGCTTTCTGTCTAGTTTTTATGTGAAGATATTTCCTTTTCTACCATAGGCATAAACGTGCTCCAAATATCCACTGGCAGATTCTAAAAAAAGAGTATTTCAAAACTGCTCTATCAAAAGGAAGGTTCAATTCTGTGAGTTGAATGCACACATCACAAAGTAGTTTCTGAGAATGCTTCTGCCTAATTTTTAATTTTAAGATATTCCCATTTCCAAAGAAGGCTTCAATTTGCTCCAAATATCCACTTGCAGATTGTACAAAAAGAGGGTTTCAAAACTGCTCTATCAAAAGGAAGGTTCAACTCTGTGAGATGAATGCACATATCACAAAGTGGTTTCAGAGAATGCTTGTTTCTAGTTTTCAGGTGACGATATTCCCGTTTCCAATGTAGCACTCAAAGAGCTCCAAATATCCTCCTGCAGATTGTGCAAAAAGGGTGTTTCAAAACTGCTCTATCAAAAAGAAGCTTCAACTCTGTGAGTTGAATGCACAAATCACAAAGAAGTTTCTGGGAATACTTCTGTCTATTTTTATGTGACGATACTCCCGTTTCCAAAGAAGGCTTCAAAGCACTCCAAATATCCACCTGCAGATTATAAAGGAAGAGTTTTTCAAAACTGCTCAATCCAAAGGAAGGTTCAGCTCCGTGAGTTCAATGCCCACATCACAAAGAAGTTTCTGAGAATGCTTCTGTCTAGTTTCAAGGGGAAGATATTCCCGTTTCCAACGAAGGCTTCAAAGCGCTCCAAATATCCACCTGCAGAGTCTACAAAAAGACTGTTTCAAAACTGCTCAATAAAAGTAAGGTTTTACCTTGTTAGTTGAATGCACCCATCAAAATGAAGTTTCTGAGGACACTTCTGTCTACTTTTCATGTGAAGATATTTCCTTATCCACAATAGTCCCCAAAGCCCTCAAAATGCCCACTGGAAGATTCCTCAAAAAGACGGTTTCAAAACTGCAGTATAAGAAGGAAATTTCAACTATGTGAGTAGAATGCACACATCACAAAGTAGTTTGCTGAGAATGCTTCTGTCTAGTTTTTATATGAAGATATTTCCTTTTCGACCTTAAGCCTCAAAGTGCTGCAATTATGCACTTTCAGATTCTTCAAAAAGAGGGTTTCAAAACTGCTCTGGCAAAAGGAAGTTTCAACGCTGTGAGTTGAATGCACACATCACAAAGAAGTTTCTGAGAATGCTTCTGTCTAATTTTTATGTGAAGATAATCCTGTTTCCCAAGAAGGCTTCAAAGCACCCTAATATCCGCCTCCAGATTCTACAGAAAGAGTGTTTCAAAACTGCTCTATCAAAAGGAAGTTTCAAATCTGTGAGTTGAA
Source organism: Homo sapiens (assembly GCF_000001405.40). Taxonomy (NCBI): domain Eukaryota; kingdom Metazoa; phylum Chordata; class Mammalia; order Primates; family Hominidae; genus Homo; species Homo sapiens. The sequence goes on along the minus strand of NC_000007.14, from coordinate 61,456,782 downwards.
TGCAGACATCATAAAGGAGTTTCTGAGAATGCTTCTGTCTTGTTTTAATGTGAAGATATATCCTTTTCAACCGATAGCCTAAAAGAGCTCCAAATGTCCAACTGCAGATTTTTTCAAAAGAATGTTTCAAAACTGCACTATCAAAAGAAAGGTTCAGCTCCGTGAGTTGAATGCACACATCTCAAAGAAGTTTCTGAGAATGCTTCTGTCTAGTTTTTATGTGAAGATATTCGCGATTCCAATGAAGTCTTCAAAGCGCTCCAAATATCTAAATGCGGATCCTACAAAAAGAGTGATTCAAAACTGGTCTATTAAAAGGAAGGTTCAGCTCTGTGAGTTGAACGCACACATCACAGAAAGTTTCTGAGAATGCTTCCATTTAGTTTTTAGGTGAAGATATTACCTTTTCAACCACAGCCTTCAAAACGCTCCAAATGTCCACTTGCAGATTCTACAAGAAGATTGTTTCCAGGCGGCTCTATCAAAAGAAATGTTCAACTATGGGAGTAGAATACACACATCACAAAGTCGTTTCCTGGGAATGCTTTCTGTCTAGTTTTTATGTGAAGATATTTCCTTTTCTACCAGAGGCCTGAAAGCGCTCCAAATATCCAATTGCAGATTCTACAAAAAGAGTGTTTCAAAACTTCTCTATCAAAAGTAAGGGTCTGCTTTGTGAGTTGAATGTACACATCAAAATGAAGTTTCTGATTATACTTCTGTCTACTTCTTATGGGAAGATATTTCCTTATCCGCAATGGTCCTCAAAGCCCTCGAAATGCCCACTTGAAGATTCTTCGGAAAGACTGTTTCAAAACTGCTCTATCAAAAGAAAGTTTCAACTTTGTGTGTAGAATGCACACATCACAAAGTCGTTTCTGAGAATGCTTCTGTCTAGTTTTTATAGGAAGATATTTCCTTTTCTACCATAAGCCTCAAAGCACTGCACATATGAACTGGCAGATTCTTTAAACAGAGTGTTTCAAAACTGCTCTATCAAAACTGTTCTATCAACTCTGTGAGATGAATGGACACATCACAAAGATGTTTCTGAGAATGCCTCTGTCTGGGTTTTAGGTGAAGATATTCTCGTTTCCAAAGAATGCTTCAAAGAATACTTAAATATCCGCCTGCAGATTCTACAAAAGGAGTGTTTCAAAACTGCTCTAACAAAAGAAAGGTTCAACCTGGGAGTTGAATGCACACATCACAAAGAAGTTTCTGAGAATGCTTCTGTCTAGTTTTAATGCGAAGATATTCCCTCTTCCACCATAACCTTCAAAGCGCTCCAAATGTCCATTTGCAGATTTTACAAACAGAGTGTTTCCAGACTGCTCTACCAAAAGAAATTTTCAACTATGGGAGTAGAATGCACACATCAGAAATTCGTTTCTGAGAATGCTTCTGTCTAGTTTTTATGTGAAGATATTTCCTTTTCTACCACAGGCATAAATGTGCTCCAAATATCCACTTGCAGATTCTAAAAAAAAGAGTGTTTCAAAACTGCTGTATCAAAAGGAAGGTTCAATTCTGTGAGTTGAATGCACACATCACAAAGTAGTTTCTGAGAATGCTTCTGCCTAATTTTTAGATTTAAGATATTCCCATTTCCAAAGAAGGCTTCAATTTGCTCCAAATATCCACATGCAGATTGTACAAAAAGAGGGTTTCAAAACTGCTCTATCAAAAGGAAGGTTCAACTCTGTGAGATGAATGCACACATCACAAAGTGGTTTCAGAGAATGCTTCTTTCTAGTTTTCAGGGTACGATATTCCCGTTTCCAATGTAGCTCTCAAAGAGCTCCAAATATCCTCCTGCAGATTGTGCAAAAAGTGTGTTTCAAAACTGCTCTATCAAAAAGAAGCTTCAACTCTCTGAGTTGACTGCACAAATCACAAAGATGTTTCTGGGAATACTTCTGTCTATTTTTATGTGACGATACTCCCGTTTCCAAAGAAGGCTTCTAAGCACTCCAAATATCCACCTGCAGATTATAAAGGAAGAGTTTTTCAAAACTGCTCAATCCAAAGGAAGGTTCAGCTCCGTGAGTTCAATGCCCACATCACAAAGAAGTTTCTGAGAATGCTTCTGTCTGGTTTCAAGGGGAAGATATTCCCGTTTCCAACGAAGGCTTCAAAGCGCTCCAAATATCCGCTTGCAGAGTCTACAAAAAGACTGTTTCAAAACTGCTCTATAAAAGTAAGGTTGTACTTTGTTAGTGGAATGCACCCATCAAAATGAAGTTTCTGAGAACACTTCTGTCTACTTTTCATGTGAAGATATTTCCTTATCCACAATAGTCCCCAAAGCCCTCAAAATGCCCACCCGAAGATTCCTCAAAAAGACGGTTTCAAAACTGCAGTATCAGAAGGAAATTTCAACTATGTGAGTAGAATGCACACATCACAAAGTAGTTTCTGAGAATGCTTCTGTCTAGTTTTTATATGAAGATATTTCCTTTTCGACCTTAAGCCTCAAAGTGCTGCAATTATGCACTTTCAGATTCTTCAAAAAGAGGGTTTCAAAACTGCTCTGGCAAAAGGAAGTTTCAACGCTGTGAGTTGAATGCACACATCACAAAGAAGTTTCTGAGAATGCTTCTGTCTAATTTTTATGTGAAGATAATCCTGTTTCCCAAGAAGGCTTCAAAGCACCCTAATATCCGCCTCCAGATTCTACAGAAAGAGTGTTTCAAAACTGCTCTATCAAAAGGAAGGTTCAACTCTGTGAGTTGAATGCAGACATCATAAAGGAGTTTCTGAGAATGCTTCTGTCTTGTTTTAATGTGAAGATACTTCCTTTTCAACCGATAGCCTAAAAGAGCTCCAAATGTCCAACTGCAGATTTTTTAAAAAGAATGTTTCAAAACTGCACTATCAAAAGAAAGGTCCAGCTCTGTGAGTTGAATGCACACATCTCAAAGGAGTTTCTGAGAATGGTTCTGTCTACTTTTTATGTGAAGATATTCGCGATTCCAATGAAGTCTTCAAAGCGCTCCAAATATCTAAATGCGGATTCTACAAAAAGAGTGATTCAAAACTGGTCTATGAAAAGGAAGGTTCAGCTCTGTGAGTTGAACGCACACATCACAGAAAGTTTCTGAGAATGCTTCCATTTAGTTTTTAGGTGAAGATATTACCTTTTCAACCACAGCCTTCGAAACGCTCCAAATGTCCACTTGCAGATTCTACAAGAAGATTGTTTCCAGGCGGCTCTATCAAAAGAAATGTTCAACTATGGGAGTAGAATACACACATCACAAAGTCGTTTCTGAGAATGCTTCTGTCTAGTTTTTATGTGAAGATATTTCCTTTTCTACCAGAAGCCTGAAAGCGCTCCAAATATCCAATTGCAGATTCTACAAAAAGAGTGTTTCAAAACTTCTCTATCAAAAGTAAGGGTCTGCTTTGTGAGTTGAATGTACACATCAAAATGAAGTTTCTGATTATACTTCTGTCTACTTCTTATGTGAAGATATTTCCTTATCCGCAATGGTCTTCAAAGCCCTCGAAATGCCCACTTGAAGATTCTTCGGAAAGACTGTTTCAAAACTGCTCTATCAAAAGAAAGTTTCAACTTTGTGTGTAGAATGCACACATCACAAAGTCGTTTCTGAGAATGCTTCTGTCTAGTTTTTATATGAAGATATTTCCTTTTCTACCATAAGCCTCAAAGCACTGCACATATGAACTGGCAGATTCTTTAAAAAGAGTGTTTCAAAACTGCTCTATCAAAACTGTTCTATCAACTCTGTGAGATGAATGGACACATCACAAAGATGTTTCTGAGAATGCTTCTGTCTAGGTTTTAGGTGAAGATATTCTCGTTTCCAAAGAATGCTTCAAAGAGTACTTAAATATCCGCCTGCAGATTCTACAAAAGGAGTGTTTCAAAACTGCTCTAAGAAAAGAAAGGTTCAACCTGGGAGTTGAATGCACACATCACAAAGAAGTTTCTGAGAATGCTTCTGTCTAGTTTTAATGCGAAGATATTCCCTCTTCCACCATAACCTTCAAAGCGCTCCAAATGTCCATTTGCAGATTTTACAAACAGAGTGTTTCCAGACTGCTCTACCAAAAGAAATTTTCAACTATGGGAGTAGAATGCCCACATCACAAATTCGTTTCTGAGAATGCTTCTGTCTAGTTTTTATGTGAAGATATTTCCTTTTCTACCACAGGCATAAATGTGCTCCAAATATCCACTTGCAGATTCTAAACAAAGAGTGTTTCAAAACTGCTGTATCAAAAGGAAGGTTCAATTCTGTGAGTTGAATGCACACATCACAAAGTAGTTTCTGAGAATGCTTCTGCCTAATTTTTAGATTTAAGATATTCCCATTTCCAAAGAAGGCTTCAATTTGCTCCAAATATCCACTTGCAGATTGTACAAAAAGAGGGTTTCAAAACTGCTCTATCAAAAGGAAGGTTCAACTCTGTGAGATGAATGCAAACATCACAAAGTGGTTTCAGAGAATGCTTCTTTCTAGTTTTTAGGTGACGATATTCCCGTTTCCAATGTAGCACTCAAAGAGCTCCAAATATCCTCCTGCAGATTGTGCAAAAAGGGTGTTTCAAAACTGCTCTAACAAAAAGAAGCTTCAACTCTGTGAGTTGAATGCACAAATCACAAAGAAGTTTCTGGGAATACTTCTGTCTATTTTTATGTGACGATACTCCCGTTTCCAAAGAAGGCTTCAAAGCACTCCAAATATCCACCTGCAGATTATAAAGGAAGAGTTTTTCAAAACTGCTCAATCCAAAGGAAGGTTCAGCTCCGTGAGTTCAATGCCCACATCACAAAGAAGTTTCTGAGAATGCTTCTGTCTAGTTTCAAGGGGAAGATATTCCCGTTTCCAACGAAGGCTTCAAAGCGCTCCAAATATCCACTTGCAGAGTCTACAAAAAGACTGTTTCAAAACTGCTCTATAAAAGTAAGGTTGTACCTTGTTAGTTGAATGCACCCATCAAAATGAAGTTTCTGAGAACCCTTCTGTCTACTTTTCATGTGAAGATATTTCCTTATCCACAATAGCCCCCAAAGCCCTCAAAATGCCCACTGGAAGATTCCTCAAAAAGACGGTTTCAAAACTGCAGTATCAGAAGGAAATTTCAACTATGTGAGTAGAATGCACACATCACAAAGTAGTTTCTGAGAATGCTTCTGTTTAGTTTTTATATGAAGATATTTCCTTTTCTACCTTAAGCCTCAAAGTGCTGCAATTATGCACTTTCAGATTCTTCAAAAAGAGGGTTTCAAAACTGCTCTGGCAAAAGGAAGTTTCAACGCTGTGAGTGGAATGCACACATCACAAAGAAGTTTCTGAGAATGCTTCTGTCTAATTTTTATGTGAAGATAATCCTGTTTCCCAAGAAGGCTTCAAAGCACCCTAATATCCGCCTCCAGATTCTACAGAAAGAGTGTTTCAAAACTGCTCTATCAAAAGGAAGGTTCAACTCTGTGAGTTGAATGCAGACATCATAAAGGAGTTTCTGAGAATGCTTCTGTCTTGTTTTAATGTGAAGATATTTCCTTTTCAACCGATAGCCTAAAAGAGCTCCAAATGTCCAACTGCAGATTTTTTAAAAAGAATGTTTCAAAACTGCACTATCAAAAGAAATGTTCAGCTCTGTGAGTTGAATGCACACATCTCAAAGAAGTTTCTGAGAATGGTTCTGTCTAGTTTTTATGTGAAGGTATTCGCGATTCCAATGAAGTCTTCAAAGCGCTCCAAATATCTAAATGCGGATTCTACAAAAAGAGTGATTCAAAACTGGTCTATGAAAAGGAAGGTTCAGCTCTGTGAGTTGAACGCACACATCACAAAAAGTTTCGGACAATGCTTCCATTTAGTTTTTGGGTGAAGATATTACCTTTTCAACCACAGCCTTCGAAACGCTCCAAATGTCCACTTGCAGATTCTGCAAGAAGATTGTTTCCAGGCGGCTCTATCAAAAGAAATGTTCAACTATGGGAGTAGAATACACACATCACAAAGTCGTTTCTGAGAATGCTTCTGTCTAGTTTTTATGTGAAGATATTTCCTTTTCTACCAGAGGCCTGAAAGCGCTCCAAATATCCAATTGCAGATTCTACAAAAAGAGTGTTTCAAAACTTCTCTATCAAAAGTAAGGGTCTGCTTTGTGAGTTGAATGTACACATCAAAATGAAGTTTCTGATTATACTTCTGTCTACTTCTTATGGGAAGATATTTCCTTATCCGCAATGGTCCTCAAAGCCCTCGAAATGCCCACTTGAAGATTCTTCGGAAAGACGGTTTCAAAACTGCTCTATCAAAAGAAAGTTTCAACTTTGCGTGTAGAATGCACACATCACAAAGTCGTTTCTGAGAATGCTTCTGTCTAGTTTTTATAGGAAGATATTTCCTTTTCTACCATAAGCCTCAAAGCACGGCAAATATGAACTGGCAGATTCTTCAAAAAGAGTGTTTCAGAAATGCTCTATCAAAACTGTTCTATCAACCCTGTGAGTTGAATGGACACATCACAAAGACGTTTCTGAGAATGCTTCTGTCTAGGTTTTATGTGAAGATGTTCTCGTTTCCAAAGAATGCTTCAAAGAGTACTTAAGTATCCGCCTGCAGATTCTAAAAAAAGGAGTGTTTCAAAACTGCTCTAACAAAGGAAAGGTTCAACCTGGGAGTTGAATGCACACATCACAAAGAAGTTTCTGAGGATGCTTCTGTCTAGTTTTAATGCGAAGATATTCCCTTTTCCATCATAACCTTCAAAGCGCTCCAAATGTCCATTTGCAGATTTTAGAAACAGAGTGTCTCCAGACTGCTCTATCAAAAGAAATATTCAACTATGGGAGTACAATGCACACAACACAAATTCGTTTCTGAGAATGCTTCCGTCTAGTTTTTATGTGAAGATATTTCCTTTTCTACCATAGGCATAAATGTGCTCCAAATATCATAAATGTGCTCCAAATATCCACTTGCAGATACTAAAAAAGAGTGTTTCAAAACTGCTCTATGAAAAGGTGTGTACAAATGTGTCAGTTGAATGCACACATCACAAAGTCGTTTCTGAGAATTCTTCTGCCTAATTTTTAATTTTAAGATATTCCCATTTCCAAAGAAGGCTTCAATTTGCTCCAAATATCCACTTGCAGATTGTACAAAAAGAGGGTTTCAAAACTGCTCTATCAAAAGGAAGGTTCAACTCTGTGAGATGAATGCACACATCACAAAGTGGTTTCAGAGAATGCTTCTTTCTAGTTTTTAGGTGACGATATTCCCGTTTCCAATGTAGCACTCAAAGAGCTCCAAATATCCTCCTGCAGATTGTGCAAAAAGGGTGTTTCAAAACTGCTCTATCAAAAAGAAGCTTCAACTCTGTGAGTTGAATGCACAAATCACAAAGAAGTTTCTGGGAATACTTCTGTCTATTTTTATGTGACGATACTCCCGTTTCCAAAGAAGGCTTCAAAGCACTCCAAATATCCACCTGCAGATTATAAAGGAAGAGTTTTTCAAAACTGCTCAATCCAAAGGAAGGTTCAGCTCCGTGAGTTCAATGCCCACATCACAAAGAAGTTTCTGAGAATGCTTCTGTCTGGTTTCAAGGGGAAGATATTCCCGTTTCCAACGAAGGCTTCAAAGCGCTCCAAATATCCACTTGCAGAGTCTACAAAAAGACTGTTTCAAAACTGCTCTATAAAAGTAAGGTTTTACTTTGTTAGTGGAATGCACCCATCAAAATTAAGTTTCTGAGAACACTTCTGTCTACTTTTCATGTGAAGATATTTCCTTATCCACAATAGTCCCCAAAGCCCTCAAAATGCCCACTTGAAGATCCCTCAAAAAGACTGTTTCAAAACTGCAGTATCAGAAGGAAATTTCAACTATGTGAGTAGAATGCACACATCACAAAGTAGTTTCTGAGAATGCTTCTGTCTAGTTTTTATATGAAGATATTTCCTTTTCTACCTTAAGCCTCAAAGTGCTGCAATTATGCACTTTCAGATTCTTCAAAAAGAGGGTTTCAAAACTGCTCTAGCAAAAGGAAGTTTCAACGCTGTGAGTTGAATGCACACATCACAAAGAAGTTTCTGAGAATGCTTCTGTGTAATTTTTATGTGAAGATAATCCTGTTTCCCAAGAAGGCTTCAAAGCACCCTAATATCCGCCTCCAGATTCTACAGAAAGAGTGTTTCAAAACTGCTCTATCAAAAGGAAGGTTCAACTCTGTGAGTTGAATGCAGACATCATAAAGGAGTTTCTGAGAATGCTTCTGTCTTGTTTTAATGTGAAGATACTTCCTTTTCAACCGATAGCCTAAAAGAGCTCCAAATGTCCAACTGCAGATTTTTTAAAAAGAATGTTTCAAAACTGCACTATCAAAAGAAAGGTTCAGCTCTGTGAGTTGAATGCACACATCTCAAAGGAGTTTCTGAGAATGGTTCTGTCTAGTTTTTATGTGAAGGTATTCGCGATTCCAATGAAGTCTTCAAAGCGCTCCAAATATCTGAATGCGGATTCTACAAAAAGAGTGATTCAAAACTGGTCTAAGAAAAGGAAGTTTCAGCTCTGTGAGTTGAACGCACACATCACAAAAAGTTTCGGAGAATGCTTCCAATTAGTTTTTAGGTGAAGATATTACCTTTTCAACCACAGCCTTCGAAACGCTCCAAATGTCCACTTGCAGATTCTACAAGAAGATTGTTTCCAGGCAGCTCTATCAAAAGAAATGTTCAACTATGGGAGTAGAATACACACATCACAAAGTCGTTTCTGAGAATGCTTCTGTCTAGTTTTTATGTGAAGATATTTCCTTTTCTACCAGAGGCCTGAAAGCGCTCCAAATATCCAATTGCAGATTCTACAAAAAGAGTGTTTCAAAACTTCTCTATCAAAAGTAAGGGTCTGCTTTGTGAGTTGAATGTACAGATCAAAATGAAGTTTCTGATTATACTTCTGTCTACTTCTTATGGGAAGATATTTCCTTATCCGCAATGGTCCTCAAAGCGCTCGAAATGCCCACTTGAAGATTCTTGGGAAAGAGTGTTTCAAAACTGCTCTATCAAAAGAAAGTTTCAACTTTGTGTGTACAATGCACACATCACAAAGTCGTTCCTGAGAATGCTTCTGTCTAGTTTTTATATGAAGATATTTCCTTTTCTACCATAAGCCTCAAAGCACTGCACATATGAACTGGCAGATTCTTCAAAAAGAGTGTTTCAAAACTGCTCTATCAAAACTGTTCTATCAACTCTGTGAGTTGAGTGGACACATCACAAAGACGTTTCTGAGAATGCTTCTGTCTAGGTTTTAGATGAAGATATTCTCGTTTCCAAAGAATGCTTCAAAGAGTACTTAAATATCCGCCTGCAGATTCTACAAAAGGAGTGTTTCAAAACTGCTCTAACAAAAGAAAGGTTCAACCTGGGAGTTGAATGCACACATCACAAAGAAGTTTCTGAGAATGCTTCTGTCTAGTTTTAATGCGAAGATATTCCCTCTTCCACCATAACCTTCAAAGCGCTCCAAATGTCCATTTGCAGATTTTACAAACAGAGTGTTTCCAGACTGCTCTACCAAAAGAAATTTTCAACTATGGGAGTAGAATGCACACATCACAAATTCGTTTCTGAGAATGCTTCTGTCTAGTTTTTATGTGAAGATATTTCCTTTTCTACCATAGGCATAAACGTGCTCCAAATATCCACTGGCAGATTCTAAAAAAAGAGTGTTTCAAAACTGCTCTATCAAAAGGAAGGTTCAATTCTGTGAGTTGAATGCACACATCACAAAGTAGTTTCTGAGAATGCTTCTCTCTAGTTTTTATGTGAAGATATTCCCATTTTCAATGAAGGCTTCAATACGTTCCAAATATCCACTTGCAGATTCTACAAAATAAGAATTTCAAAACTGCTCTATCAAAACGAAGGTTCAACGAAGTTGAAAGCACACACCACAAACTGGTTTCTGAGAATGCTTCTTTCTAGTTTTTCGGTGACGATATTCCCGTTTCCAATGTAGCATTCAAAGAGCTCCAAATATCCTCCTGCAGATTGTGCAAAAAGGGTGTTTCAAAACTGCTCTATCAAAAAGAAGCTTCAACTCTGTGAGTTGAATGCACAAATCACAAAGAAGTCTCTGAGAATACTTCTGTCTATTTTTAGGTGACGATACTCCCGTTTCCAAAGAAGGCTTCAAAGCACTCCAAATATCCACCTGCAGATTATAAAGGAAGAGTTATTCAAAACTGCTCAATCCAAAGGAAGGTTCAGCTCCGTGAGTTCAATGCCCCCATCACAAAGAAGTTTCTGAGAATGCTTCTGTCTAGTTTCAATGGGAAGATATTCCCGTTTCCAACGAAGGCTTCAAAGCGCTCCAAATATCCACTTGCAGAGTCTACAAAAAGACTGTTTCACAACTGCTCTATAAAAGTAAGGTTGTACTTTGTTACTTGAATGCACCCATCAAAATGAAGTTTCTGAGAACACTTCTGTCTACTTTTCATGTGAAGATATTTCCTTATCCACAATAGTCCCCAAAGCCCTCAAAATGCCCACTGGAAGATTCCTCAAAAAGACGGTTTCAATACTGCAGTATCAGAAGGAAATTTCAACTATGTGAGTAGAATGCACACATCACAAAGTAGTTTCTGAGAATGCTTCTGTCTAGTTTTTATATGAAGATATTTCCTTTTCGACCTTAAGCCTCAAAGTGCTGCAATTATGCACTTTCAGATTCTTCAAAAAGAGGGTTTCAAAACTGCTCTAGCAAAAGGAAGTTTCAACGCTGTGAGTTGAATGCACACATCACAAAGAAGTTTCTGAGAATGCTTCTGTCTAATTTTTATGTGAAGATAATCCTGTTTCCCAAGAAGGCTTCAAAGCACCCTAATATCCGCCTCCAGATTCTACAGAAAGAGTGTTTCAAAACTGCTCTATCAAAAGGAAGGTTCAACTCTGTGAGTTGAATGCAGACATCATAAAGGAGTTTCTGAGAATGCTTCTGTCTTGTTTTAATGTGAAGATACTTCCTTTTCAACCGATAGCCTAAAAGAGCTCCAAATGTCCAACTGCAGATTTTTTAAAAAGAATGTTTCAAAACTGCACTATCAAAAGAAAGGTCCAGCTCTGTGAGTTGAATGCACACATCTCAAAGGAGTTTCTGAGAATGGTTCTGTCTAGTTTTTATGTGAAGGTATTCGCGATTCCAATGAAGTCTTCAAAGCGCTCCAAATATCTAAATGCGGATTCTACAAAAAGAGTGATTCAAAACTGGTCTAAGAAAAGGAAGGTTCAGCTCTGTGAGTTGAACGCACACATCACAAAAAGTTTCGGACAATGCTCCCATTTAGTTTTTAGGTGAAGATATTACCTTTTCAACCACAGCCTTCAAAACGCTCCAAATGTCCACTTGCAGATTCTACAAGAAGATTGTTTCCAGGCGGCTCTATCAAAAGAAATGTTCAACTATGGGAGTAGAATACACACATCACAAAGTCGTTTCTGAGAATGCTTCTGTCTAGTTCTTATGTGAAGATATTTCCTTTTCTACCAGAGGCCTGAAAGCGCTCCAAATATCCAATTGCAGATTCTACAAAAAGAGTGTTTCAAACCTTCTCTATCAAAAGTAAGGGTCTGCTTTGTGAGTTGAATGTACACATCAAAATGAAGTTTCTGATTATACTTCTGTCTACTTCTTATGGGAAGATATTTCCTTATCCGCAATGGTTCTCAAAGCCCTCGAAATGCCCACTTGAAGATTCTTCGGAAAGACTGTTTCAAAACTGCTCTATCAAAAGAAAGTTTCAACTTTGTGTGTAGAATACACACATCACAAAGTCGTTTCTGAGAATGCTTCTGTCTAGTTTTTATAGGAAGATATTTCCTTTTCTACCATAAGCCTCAAAGCACGGCAAATATGAACTGGCAGATTCTTCAAAAAGAGTGTTTCAGAAATGCTCTATCAAAACTGTTCTATCAACCCTGTGAGTTGAATGGACACATCACAAAGACGTTTCTGAGAATGCTTCTGTCTAGGTTTTATGTGAAGATGTTCTCGTTTCCAAAGAATGCTTCAAAGAGTACTTAAGTATCCTCCTGCAGATTCTAAAAAAAGGAGTGGTTCAAAACTGCTCTAACAAAAGAAAGTTTCAACCTGGGAGTTGAATGCACGCATCACAAAGAAGTTTCTGAGGATGCTTCTGTCTAGTTTTAATGCGAAGATATTCCCTTCTCCACCATAACCTTCAAAGCGCTCCAAATGTCCATTTGCAGATCTTACAAACAGAGTGTTTCCAGACTGCTCTATCAAAAGAAATTTTCAACTATGGGAGTAGAATGCACACATCACAAATGCGTTTCTGAGAATGCTTCTGTCTAGTTTTTATGTGAAGATATTTCCTTTTCTACCGTAGGCATACATGTGCTCCAAATATCCGCTTGCAGATTCTAAAAAAAGAGTGTTTCAAAACTGCTCCATCAAAAGGAAGGTTCAATTCTGTGAGTTGAATGCACACATCAAAAGTAGTTTCTGACAATGCTTCTGCTTAATTTTTAGTTTTAAGATATTCCCATTTCCAAAGAAGGCTTCAATTTGCTCCAAATATCCACTTGCAGATTGTACAAAAAGAGGGTTTCAAAACTGCTCTATCAAAAGGAAGGTTCAACTCTGTGAGATGAATCCACACATCACAAAGTCGTTTCTGAGAATGCTTCTGTCTAGTTTTTATGTGAAGATATTTCCTTTTCTACCAGAGGCCTGAAAGCGCTCCAAACATCCCATTGCAGATTCTACAAAAAGAGTGTTTCAAAACTTCTCTATCAAAAGTAAGGGTCTGCTTTGTGAGTTGAATGTACACATCAAAATGAAGTTTCTGATTATACTTCTGTCTATTTTTATGTGACGATACTCCCGTTTCCAAAGAAGGCTTCAAAGCACTCCAAATATCCACCTGCAGATTATAAAGGAAGAGTTTTTCAAAACTGCTCAATCCAAAGGAAGGTTCAGCTCCGTGAGTTCAATGCCCACATCACAAAGAAGTTTCTGAGAATGCTTCTGTCTAGTTTCAATGGGAAGATATTCCCGTTTCCAACGAAGGCTTCAAAGCGCTCCAAATATCCACTTGCAGAGTCTACAAAAAGACTGTTTCAAAACTGCTCTATAAAAGTAAGGTTGTACTTTGTTAGTGGAATGCACCCATCAAAATGAAGTTTCTGAGAACACTTCTGTCTACTTTTCATGTGAAGATATTTCCTTATCCACAATAGTCCCCAAAGCCCTCAAAATGCCCACTTGAAGATCCCTCAAAAAGACTGTTTCAAAACTGCAGTATCAGAAGGAAATTTCAACTATGTGAGTAGAATGCACACATCACAAAGTAGTTTCTGAGAATGCTTCTGTCTAGTTTTTATAAGAAGATATTTCCTTTTTGACCTTCAGCCTCAAAGTGCTGCAATTATGCACTTTCAGATTCTTCAAAAAGAGGGTTTCAAAACTGCTCTGGCAAAAGGAAGTTTCAACGCTGTGAGTTGAATGCACACATCACAAAGAAGTTTCTGAGAATGCTTCTGTCTAATTTTTATGTGAAGATAATCCTGTTTCCCAAGAAGGCTTCAAAGCACCCTAATATCCGCCTCCAGATTCTACAGAAAGAGTGTTTCAAAACTGCTCTATGAAAAGGAAGGTTCAACTCTGTGAGTTGAATGCAGACATCATAAAGGAGTTTCTGAGAATGCTTCTGTCTTGTTTTAATGTGAAGATATTTCCTTTTCAACCGATAGCCTAAAAGAGCTCCAAATGTCCAACTGCAGATTTTTTAAAAAGAATGTTTCAAAACTGCACTATCAAAAGAAAGGTTCAGCTCTGTGAGTTGAATGCACACATCTCAAAGAAGTTTCTGAGAATGGTTCTGTCTAGTTTTTATGTGAAGGTATTCGCGATTCCAATGAAGTCTTCAAAGCGCTCCAAATATCTAAATGCGGATTCTACAAAAAGAGTGATTCAAAACTGGTCTATGAAAAGGAAGGTTCAGCTCTGTGAGTTGAACGCACACATCACAAAACGTTTCGGGCAATGCTTCCATTTAGTTTTTAGGTGAAGATATTACCTTTTCAACCACAGCCTTCGAAACGATCCAAATGTCCACTTGCAGATTCTACAAGAAGATTGTTTCCAGGCGGCTCTATCAAAAGAAATGTTCAACTATGGGAGTAGAATACACACATCACAAAGTCGTTTCTGAGAATGCTTCTGTCTAGTTTTTATGTGAAGATATTTCCTTTTCAACCAGAGGCCTGAAAGCGCTCCAAATGTCCAATTGCTGATTCTACAAAAAGAGTGTTTCAAAACTTCTCTATCAAAAGTAAGTGTCTGCTTTGTGAGTTGAAGGTACACATCAAAATGAAGTTTCTGATTATACTTCTGTCTACTTCTTATGTGAAGATATTTCCTTATCCGCAATGGTCCTCAAAGCCCTCGAAATGCCCACATGAAGATTCTTCGGAAAGACTGTTTCAAAACTGCTCTCTCAAAAGAAAGTTTCCACTTTGTGTGTAGAATGCACACATCACAAAGTCGTTTCTGAGAATGCTTCTGTCTAGTTTTTATAGGAAGATATTTCCTTTTCTACCATAAGCCTCAAAGCACTGCACATATGAACTGGGAGATTCTTTAAAAAGAGTGTTTCAAAACTGCTCTATCAAAACTGTTCTATCAACTCTGTGAGATGAATGGACACATCACAAAGATGTTTCTGAGAATGCTTCTGTCTAGGTTTTAGGTGAAGATATTCTCGTTTCCAAAGAATGCTTCAAATAGTACTTAAATATCCGCCTGCAGATTCTACAAAAGGAGTGTTTCAAAACTGCTCTAACAAAAGAAAGGTTCAACCTGGGAGTTGAATGCACACATCACAAAGAAGTTTCTGAGAATGCTTCTGTCTAGTTTTAATGCGAAGATATTCCCTCTTCCACCATAACCTTCAAAGCGCTCCAAATGTCCATTTGCAGATTTTACAAACAGAGTGTTTCCAGACTGCTCTACCAAAAGAAATTTTCAACTATGGGAGTAGAATGCACACATCACAAATTCGTTTCTGAGAATGCTTCTGTCTAGTTTTTATGTGAAGATATTTCCTTTTCTACCATAGGCATAAACGTGCTCCAATATCCACTGGCAGATTCTAAAAAAAGAGTGTTTCAAAACTGCTCTATCAAAAGGAAGGTTCAATTCTGTGAGTTGAATGCACACATCACAAAGTAGTTTCTGAGAATGCTTCTGCCTAATTTTTAGATTTAGGATATTCCCATTTCCAAAGAAGGCTTCAATTTGCTCCAAATATCCACTTGCAGATTGTACAAAAAGAGGGTTTCAAAACTGCTCTATCAAAAGGAAGGTTCAACTCTGTGAGATGAATGCACACATCACAAAGTGGTTTCAGAGAATACTTCTTTCTAGTTTTCAGGTGACGATATTCCCGTTTCCAATGTAGCACTCAAAGAGCTCCAAATATCCTCCTGCAGATTGTGCAAAAAGGGTGTTTCAAAACTGCTCTATCAAAAAGAAGCTTCAACTCTGTGAGTTGAATGCACAAATCACAAAGAAGTTTCTGGGAATACTTCTGTCTATTTTTATGTGACGATACTCCCGTTTCCAAAGAAGGCTTCAAAGCACTCCAAATATCCACCTGCAGATTATAAAGGAAGAGTTTTTCAAAACTGCTCAATCCAAAGGAAGGTTCAGCTCCGTGAGTTCAATGCCCACATCACAAAGAAGTTTCTGAGAATGCTTCTGTCTAGTTTCAAGGGGAAGATATTCCCGTTTCCAACGAAGGCTTCAAAGCGCTCCAAATATCCACTTGCAGAGTCTACAAAAAAACTGTTTCAAAACTGCTCTATAAAAGTAAGGTTGTACTTTGTTAGTGGAATGCACCCATCAAAATGAAGTTTCTGAGAACACTTCTGTCTACTTTTCATGTGAAGATATTTCCTTATCCACAATAGTCCCCAAAACCCTCAAAATGCCCACTTGAAGATCCCTCAAAAAGACTGTTTCAAAACTGCAGTATCAGAAGGAAATTTCAACTATGTGAGTAGAATGCACACATCACAAAGTAGTTTCTGAGAATGCTTCTGTCTAGTTTTTATATGAAGATATTTCCTTTTCGACCTTAAGCCTCAAAGTGCTGCAATTATGCACTTTCAGATTCTTCAAAAAGAGGGTTTCAAAACTGCTCTGGCAAAAGGAAGGTTCAACGCTGTGAGTTGAATGCACACATCACAAAGAAGTTTCTGAGAATGTTTCTGTCTAATTTTTATGTGAAGATAATCCTGTTTCCCAAGAAGGCTTCAAAGCACCCTAATATCCGCCTCCAGATTCTACAGAAAGAGTGTTTCAAAACTGCTCTATGAAAAGGAAGGTTCAACTCTGTGAGTTGAATGCAGACATCATAAAGGAGTTTCTGAGAATGCTTCTGTCTTGTTTTAATGTGAAGATATTTCCTTTTCAACCGATAGCCTAAAAGAGCTCCAAATGTCCAACTGCAGATTTTTTAAAAAGAATGTTTGAAAACTGCACTATCAAAAGAAAGGTTCAGCTCTGTGAGGTGAATGCACACATCTCAAAGAAGTTTCTGAGAATGGTTCTGTCTAGTTTTTATGTGAAGGTATTCGCGATTCCAATGAATTCTTCAAAGCGCTCCAAATATCTAAATGCGGATTCTACAAAAAGAGTGATTCAAAACTGGTCTATGAAAAGGAAGGTTCAGCTCTGTGAGTTGAACGCACACATCACAAAACGTTTCGGACAATGCTTCCATTTAGTTTTTAGGTGAAGATATTACCTTTTCACCCACAGCCTTCAAGACGCTCCAAATGTCCACTTGCAGATTCTACAAGAAGATTGTTTCCAGGCTGCTCTATCAAAAGAAATGTTCAACTATGGGAGTAGAATACACACATCACAAAGTCGTTTCTGAGAATGCTTCTTTCTAGTTTTTATGTGAAGATATTTCCTTTTCTACCAGAGGCCTGAAAGCGCTCCAAATATCCAATTGCAGATTCTACAGAAAGAGTGTTTCAAAACTTCTCTATCAAAAGTAAGGGTCTGCTTTGTGAGTTGAATGTACACATCAAAATGAAGTTTCTGATTATACTTCTGTCTACTTCTTATGTGAAGATATTTCCTTATCCGCAATGGTCCTCAAAGCCCTCGAAATGCCCACTTGAAGATTCTTCGGAAAGACTGTTTCAAAACTGCTCTCTCAAAAGAAAGTTTCCACTTTGTGTGTAGAATGCACACATCACAAAGTCGTTTCTGAGAATGCTTCTGTCTAGTTTTTATATGAAGATATTTCCTTTACTACCATAAGCCTCAAATCACTGCACATATGAACTGGCAGATTCTTTAAAAAGAGTGTTTCAAAACTGCTCTATCAAAACTGTTCTATCAACTCTGTGAGTTGAATGGACACATCACAAAGACTTTTCTGAGAATGCTTCTGTCTAGGTTTTAGGTGAAGATATTCTCGTTTCCAAAGAATGCTTCAAATAGTACTTAAATATCCGCCTGCAGATTCTACAAAAGGAGTGTTTCAAAACTGCTCTAACAAAAGAAAGGTTCAACCTGGGAGTTGAATGCACACATCACAAAGAAGTTTCTGAGAATGCTTCTGTCTAGTTTTAATGCGAAGATATTCCCTTTTCCATCATAACCTTCAAAGTGCTCCAAATGTCCATTTGCAGATTTTAGAAACAGAGTGTTTCCAGACTGCTCTATCAAAAGAAATTTTCAACTATGGGAGTAGAATGCACACAACACAAATTCGTTTCTGAGAATGCTTCTGTCTAGTTTTTATGTGAAGATATTTCCTTTTCTACCACAGGCATAAATGTGCTCCAAATATCCACTTGCAGATTCTAAACAAAGAGTGTTTCAAAACTGCTGTATCAAAAGGAAGGTTCAATTCTGTGAGTTGAATGCACACATCACAAAGTAGTTTCTGAGAATGCTTCTGCCTAATTTTTAGATTTAAGATATTCCCATTTCCAAAGAAGGCTTCAATTTGCTCCAAATATCCACTTGCAGATTGTACAAAAAGAGGGTTTCAAAACTGCTCTATCAAAAGGAAGGTTCAACTCTGTGAGATGAATGCACACATCACAAAGTGGTTTCAGAGAATGCTTCTTTCTAGTTTTTCGGTGACGATATTCCCGTTTCCAATGTAGCATTCAAAGAGCTCCAAATATCCTCCTGCAGATTGTGCAAAAAGGGTGTTTCAAAACTGCTCTATCAAAAAGAAGCTTCAACTCTGTGAGTTGAATGCACATATCACAAAGAAGTCTCTGAGAATACTTCTGTCTATTTTTATGTGACGATACTCCCGTTTCCAAAGAAGGCTTCAAAGCACTCCAAATATCCACCTGCAGATTATAAAGGAAGAGTTTTTCAAAACTGCTCAATCCAAAGGAAGGTTCAGCTCCGTGAGTTCAATGCCCACATCACAAAGAAGTTTCTGAGAATGCTTCTGTCTAGTTTCAATGGGAAGATATTCCCGTTTCCAACGAAGGCTTCAAAGCGCTCCAAATATCCACTTGCAGAGTCTACAAAAAGACTGTTTCACAACTGCTCTATAAAAGTAAGGTTGTACTTTGTTAGTTGAATGCACCCATCAAAATGAAGTTTCTGAGAACACTTCTGTCTACTTTTCATGTGAAGATATTTCCTTATCCACAATAGTCCCCAAAGCCCTCAAAATGCCCACTTGAAGATCCCTCAAAAAGACTGTTTCAAAACTGCAGTATCAGAAGCAAATTTCAACTATATGAGCAGAATGCACACATCACAAAGTAGTTTCTGAGAATGCTTCTGTCTAGTTTTTATATGAAGATATTTCCTTTTCGACCTTAAGCCTCAAAGTGCTGCAATTATGCACTTTCAGATTCTTCAAAAAGAGGGTTTCAAAACTGCTCTGGCAAAAGGAAGTTTCAACGCTGTGAGTTGAATGCACACATCACAAAGAAGTTTCTGAGAATGCTTCTGTCTAATTTTTATGTGAAGATAATCCTGTTTCCCAAGAAGGCTTCAAAGCACCCTAATATCCGCCTCCAGATTCTACAGAAAGAGTGTTTCAAAACTGCTCTATGGAAAGGAAGGTTCAACTCTGTGAGTTGAATGCAGACATCATAAAGGAGTTTCTGAGAATGCTTCTGTCTTGTTTAAATGTGAAGATATTTCCTTTTCAACCGATAGCCTAAAAGAGCTCCAAATGTCCAACTGCAGATTTTTTAAAAAGAATGTTTCAAAACTGCACTATCAAAAGAAAGGTTCAGCTCTGTGAGTTGAATGCACACATCTCAAAGAAGTTTCTGAGAATGGTTCTGTCTAGTTTTTATGTGAAGGGATTCGCGATTCCAATGAAGTCTTCAAAGCGCTTCAAATATCTAAATGCGGATTCTACAAAAAGAGTGATTCAAAACTGGTCAATGAAAAGGAAGGTTCAGCTCTGTGAGTTGAACGCACACATCACAAAACGTTTCGGACAATGCTTCCATTTAGTTTTTAGGTGAAGATATTACCTTTTCAACCACAGCCTTCGAAACGCTCAAAATGTCCACTTGCAGATTGTACAAGAAGATTGTTTCCAGGCGGCTCTATCAAAAGAAATGTTCAACTATGGGAGTAGAATACACACATCACAAAGTCGTTTCTGAGAATGCTTCTGTCTAGTTTTTATGTGAAGATATTTCCTTTTCTACCAGAGGCCTGAAAGCGCTCCAAATATCCAATTGCAGATTCTACAAAAAGAGTGTTTCAAAACTTCTCTATCAAAAGTAAGGGTCTGCTTTGTGAGTTGAATGTACACATCAAAATGAAGTTTCTGATTATACTTCTGTCTACTTCTTATGGGAAGATATTTCCTTATCCGCAATGGTCCTCAAAGCCCTCGAAATGCCCACTTGAAGATTCTTCGGAAAGACTGTTTCAAAACTGCTCTATCAAAAGAAAGTTTCCACTTTGTGTGTAGGATGCACACATCACAAAGTCGTTTCTGAGAATGCTTCTGTCTAGTTTTTATATGAAGATATTTCCTTTTCTACCATAAGCCTCAAAGCACTGCACATATGAACTGGCACATTCTTCAAAAAGAGTGTTTCAAAACTCCTCTATCAAAACTGTTCTATCAACTCTGTGAGTTGAGTGGACACATCACAAAGACGTTTCTGAGAATGCTTCCGTCTAGGTTTTAGGTGAAGATATTCTCATTTCCAAAGAATGCTTCAAATAGTAATTAAATATCCGCCTGCAGATTCTACAAAAGGAGTGTTTCAAAACTGCTCTAACAAAAGAAAGGTTCAACCTGGGAGTTGAATGCACACATCACAAACAACTTTCTGAGAATGCTTCTGTCTAGTTTTAATGCGAAGATATTCCCTTTTCCATCATAACCTTCAAAGCGCTCCAAATGTCCATTTGCAGATTTTAGAAACAGAGTGGTTCCAGACTGCTCTATCAAAAGAAATTTTCAACTATGGGAGTAGAATGCACACAACACAAATTCGTTTCTGAGAATGCTTCTGTCTAGTTTTTATGTGAAGATATTTCCTTTTCTACCACAGGCATAAATGTGCTCCAAATATCCACTTGCAGATTCTAAACAAAGAGTGTTTCAAAACTGCTGTATCAAAAGGAAGGTTCAATTCTGTGAGTTGAATGCACACATCACAAAGTAGTTTCTGAGAATGCTTCTGCCGAATTTTTAGATTTAAGATATTCCCATTTCCAAGGAAGGCTTCAATTTGCTCCAAATATCCACTTGCAGATTGTACAAAAAGAGGGTTTCAGAAGTGCTCTATCAAAAGGAAGGTTCAACTCTGTGAGATGAATGCACACATCACAAAGTGGTTTCAGAGAATGCTTCTTTCTAGTTTTTAGGTGACGATATTCCCGTTTCCAATGTAGCACTCAAAGAGCTCCAAATATCCTCCTGCAGATTGTGCAAAAAGGGTGTTTCAAAACTGCTCTATCAAAAAGAAGCTTCAACTCTGTGAGTTGAATGCACAAATCACAAAGAAGTTTCTGGGAATACTTCTGTCTATTTTTATGTGACGATACTCCCGTTTCCAAAGAAGGCTTCAAAGCACTCCAAATATCCACCTGCAGATTATAAAGGAAGAGTTTTTCAAAACTGCTCAATCCAAAGGAAGGTTCAGCTCCGTGAGTTCAATGCCCACATCACAAAGAAGTTTCTGAGAATGCTTCTGTCTAGTTTCAAGGGGAAGATATTCCCGTTTCCAACGAAGGCTTCAAAGCGCTCCAAATATCCACTTACAGAGTCTACAAAAAGACTGTTTCAAAACTGCTCTATAAAAGTAAGGTTGTACTTTGTTAGTGGAATGCACCCATCAAAATGAAGTTTCTGAGAACACTTCTGTCTACTTTTCATGTGAAGATATTTCCTTATCCACAATAGTCCCCAAAGCCCTCAAAATGCCCACTTGAAGATCCCTCAAAAAGACTGTTTCAAAACTGCAGTATCAGAAGGAAATTTCAACTATGTGAGTAGAATGCACACATCACAAAGTAGTTTCTGAGAATGCTTCTGTCTAGTTTTTATATGAAGATATTTCCTTTTCGACCTTAAGCCTCAAAGTGCTGCAATTATGCACTTTCAGATTCTTCAAAAAGAGGGTTTCAAAACTGCTCTGGCAAAAGGAAGTTTCAACGCTGTGAGTTGAATGCACACATCACAAAGAAGTTTCTGAGAATGCTTCTGTCTAATTTTTATGTGAAGATAATCCTGTTTCCCAAGAAGGCTTCAAAGCACCCTAATATCCGCCTCCAGATTCTACAGAAAGAGTGTTTCAAAACTGCTCTATGGAAAGGAAGGTTCAACTCTGTGAGTTGAATGCAGACATCATAAAGGAGTTTCTGAGAATGCTTCTGTCTTCTTTTAATGTGAAGATATTTCCTTTTCAACCGATAGCCTAAAAGAGCTCCAAATGTCCAACTGCAGATTTTTTAAAAAGAATGTTTCAAAACTGCACTATCAAAAGAAAGGTTCAGCTCTGTGAGTTGAATGCACACATCTCAAAGAAGTTTCTGAGAATGGTTCTGTCTAGTTTTTATGTGAAGGTATTCGCGATTCCAATGAAGTCTTCAAAGCGCTCCAAATATCTAAATGCGGATTCTACAAAAAGAGTGATTCAAAACTGGTCTAAGAAAAGGAAGGTTCAGCTCTGTGAGTTGAACGCACACATCACAAAAAGTTTCGGACAATGCTTCCATTTAGTTTTTGGGTGAAGATATTACTTTTTCAACCACAGCCTTCAAAACGCTCCAAATGTCCACTTGCAGATTCTACAAGAAGATTGTTTCCAGGCGGCTCTATCAAAAGAAATGTTCAACTATGGGAGTAGAATACACACATCACAAAGTCGTTTCTGAGAATGCTTCTGTCTAGTTTTTATGTGAAGATATTTCCTTTTCTACCAGAGGCCTGAAAGCGCTCCAAATATCCAATTGCAGATTCTACAAAAAGAGTGTTTCAAAACTTCTCTATCAAAAGTAAGGGTCTGCTTTGTGAGTTGAATGTACACATCAAAATGAAGTTTCTGATTATAGTTCTGTCTACTTCTTATGGGAAGATATTTCCTTATCCGCAATGGTCCTCAAAGCCCTCGAAATGCCCACTTGAAGATTCTTCGGAAAGACTGTTTCAAAACTGCTCTATCAAAAGAAAGTTTCAACTTTGTGTGTAGAATGCACACATCACAAAGTCGTTTCTGAGAATGCTTCTGTCTAGTTTTTACAGGAAGATATTTCCTTTTCTACCATAAGCCTCAAAGCACTGCACATATGAACTGGCAGATTCTTTAAAAAGAGTGTTTCAAAACTGCTCTATCAAAACTGTTCTATGAACTCTGTGAGATGAATGGACACATCACAAAGATGTTTCTGAGAATGCTTCTGTCTAGGTTTTAGGTGAAGATATTCTCGTTTCCAAAGAATGCTTCAAAGAGTACTTAAATATCCGCCTGCAGATTCTACAAAAGGAGTGTTTCAAAACTGCTCTAACAAAAGAAAGGTTCAACCTGGGAGTTGAATGCACACATCACAAAGAAGTTTCTGAGAATGCTTCTGTCTAGTTTTAATGCGAAGATATTCCCTTTTCCATCATAACCTTCAAAGCGCTCCAAATGTCCATTTGCAGATTTTAGAAACAGAGTGTTTCCAGACTGCTCTATCAAAAGAAATTTTCAACTATGGGAGTAGAATGCACACAACACAAATTCGTTTCTGAGAATGCTTCTGTCTAGTTTTTATGTGAAGATATTTCCTTTTCTACCACAGGCATAAATGTGCTCCAAATATCCACTTGCAGATTCTAAACAAAGAGTGTTTCAAAACTGCTGTATCAAAAGGAAGGTTCAATTCTGTGAGTTGAATGCACACATCACAAAGTAGTTTCTGAGAATGCTTCTGCCTAATTTTTAGATTTAGGATATTCCCATTTCCAAAGAAGGCTTCAATTTGCTCCAAATATCCACTTGCAGATTGTACAAAAAGAGGGTTTCAAAACTGCTCTATCAAAAGGAAGGTTCAACTCTGTGAGATGAATGCACACATCACAAAGTGGTTTCAGAGAATGCTTGTTTCTAGTTTTCAGGTGACGATATTCCCGTTTCCAATGTAGCACTCAAAGAGCTCCAAATATCCTCCTGCAGATTGTGCAAAAAGGGTGTTTCAAAACTGCTCTATCAAAAAGAAGCTTCAACTCTGTGAGTTGAATGCACAAATCACAAAGAAGTTTCTGGGAATACTTCTGTCTATTTTTATGTGACGATACTCCCGTTTCCAAAGAAGGCTTCAAAGCACTCCAAATATCCACCTGCAGATTATAAAGGAAGAGTTTGTCAAAACTGCTCAATCCAAAGGAAGGTTCAGCTCCGTGAGTTCAATGCCCACATCACAAAGAAGTTTCTGAGAATGCTTCTGTCTAGTTTCAAGGGGAAGATATTCCCGTTTCCAACGAAGGCTTCAAAGCGCTCCAAATATCCACTTGCAGAGTCTACAAAAAGACTGTTTCAAAACTGCTCTATAAAAGTAAGGTTGTACTTTGTTAGTGGAATGCACCCATTAAAATGAAGTTTCTGAGAACACTTCTGTCTACTTTTCATGTGAAGATATTTCCTTATCCACAATAGTCCCCAAAGCCCTCAAAATGCCCACTGGAAGATTCCTCAAAAAGACGGTTTCAATACTGCAGTATCAGAAGGAAATTTCAACTATGTGAGTAGAATGCACACATCACAAAGTAGTTTCTGAGAATGCTTCTGTCTAGTTTTTATATGAAGATATTTCCTTTTCTACCTTAAGCCTCAAAGTGCTGCATTTATGCACTTTCAGATTCTTCAAAAAGAGGGTTTCAAAACTGCTCTAGCAAAAGGAAGTTTCAACGCTGTGAGTTGAATGCACACATCACAAAGAAGTTTCTGAGAATGCTTCTGTCTAATTTTTATGTGAAGATAATCCTGTTTCCCAAGAAGGCTTCAAAGCACCCTAATATCTGTCTCCAGATTCTACAGAAAGAGTGTTTCAAAACTGCTCTATGGAAAGGAAGGTTCAACTCTGTGAGTTGAATGCAGACATCATAAAGGAGTTTCTGAGAATGCTTCTGTCTTGTTTTAATGTGAAGATATTTCCTTTTCAACCGATAGCCTAAAAGAGCTCCAAATGTCCAACTGCAGATTTTTTAAAAAGAATGTTTCAAAACTGCACTATCAAAAGAAAGGTTCAGCTCTGTGAGTTGAATGCACACATCTCAAAGAAGTTTCTGAGAATGGTTCTGTCTAGTTTTTATGTGAAGGTATTCGCGATTCCAATGAAGTCTTCAAAGCGCTCCAAATATCTAAATGCGGATTCTACAAAAAGAGTGATTCAAAAATGGTCTATGAAAAGGAAGGTTCAGCTCTGTGAGTTGAACGCACACATCACAAAAAGTTTCGGACAATGCTTCCATTTAGTTTTCAGGTGAAGATATTACCTTTTCAACCACAGCCTTCGAAACGCTCCAAATGTCCACTTGCAGATTCTACAAGAAGATTGTTTCCAGGCGGCTCTTTCAAAAGAAATGTTCAACTATGGGAGTAGAATACACACATCACAAAGTCGTTTCTGAGAATGCTTCTGTCTAGTTTTTATGTGAAGATATTTCCTTTTCTACCAGAGGCCTGAAAGCGCTCCAAACATCCAATTGCAGATTCTACAAAAAGACTGTTTCAAAACTTCTCTATCAAAAGTAAGGGTCTGCTTTGTGAGTTGAATGTACACATCAAAATGAAGTTTCTGATTATACTTCTGTCTACTTCTTATGGGAAGATATTTCCTTATCCGCAATGGTCCTCAAAGCCCTCGAAATGCCCACTTGAAGATTCTTGGGAAAGACTGTTTCAAAACTGCTCTATCAAAAGAAAGTTTCAACTTTGTGTGTAGAATGCACACATCACAAAGTCGTTTCTGAGAATGCTTCTGTCTAGGTTTTATAGGAAGATATTTCCTTTTCTACCATAAGCCTCAAAGCACGGCAAATATGAACTGGCAGATTCTTTAAAAAGAGTGTTTCAAAACTGCTCTATCAAAACTGTTCTATCAACTCTGTGAGTTGAATGGACACATCACAAAGACGTTTCTGAGAATGCTTCTGTCTAGGTTTCATGTGAAGATATTCTCGTTTCCAAAGAATGCTTCAAAGAGTACTTAAATATCCGCCTGCAGATTCTACAAAAGGAGTGTTTCAAAACTGCTCTAACAAAAGAAAGTTTCAACCTGCGAGTTGAATGCACACATCACAAAGAAGTTTCTGAGAATGCTTCTGTCTAGTTTTAATGCGAAGATATTCCCTTTTCCACCATAACCTTCAAAGCGCTCCAAATGTCCATTTGCAGATTTTACAAACAGAGTGTTTCCATGCTGCTCTATCGAAAGAAATTTTCAACTATGGGAGTAGAATGCACACATCACAAATTCGTTTCTGAGAATGCTTCTGTCTAGTTTTTATGTGAAGATATTTCCTTTTCTACCATAGGCATAAACGTGCTCCAAATATCCACTGGCAGATTCTAAAAAAAGAGTGTTTCAAAACTGCTCTATCAAAAGGAAGGTTCAATTCTGTGAGTTGAATGCACACATCACAAAGTAGTTTTTGAGAATGCTTCTGTCTAATTTTTAATTTTAAGATATTCCCATTTCCAAAGAAGGCTTCAATTTGCTCCAAATATCCACTTGCAGATTGTACAAAAAGAGGGTTTCAAAACTGCTCTATCAAAAGGAAGGTTCAACTCTGTGAGATGAATGCACACATCACAAAGTGGTTTCAGAGAATGCTTCTTTCTAGTTTTTAGGTGACGATATTCCCGTTTCCAATGTAACACTCAAAGAGCTCCAAATATCCTCCTGCAGATTGTGCAAAAAGGGTGTTTCAAAACTGCTCTATCAAAAAGAAGCTTCAACTCTGTGAGTTGAATGCACAAATCACAAAGAAGTTTCTGGGAATACTTCTGTCTATTTTTATGTGACGATACTCCCGTTTCCAAAGAAAGGCTTCAAAGCACTCCAAATATCCACCTGCAGATTATAAAGGAAGAGTTTTTCAAAACTGCTCAATCCAAAGGAAGGTTCAGCTCCGTGAGTTCAATGCCCACATCACAAAGAAGTTTCTGAGAATGCTTCTGTCTAGTTTCAAGGGGAAGATATTCCCGTTTCCAACGAAGGCTTCAAAGCGCTCCAAATATCCACTTGCAGAGTCTACAAAAAGACTGTTTCAAAACTGCTCAATAAAAGTAAGGTTGTACCTTGTTAGTTGAATGCACCCATCAAAATGAAGTTTCTGAGAACACTTCTGTCTACTTTTCATGTGAAGATATTTCCTTATGCACAATAGTCCCCAAAGCCCTCAAAATGCCCACTTGAAGATCCCTCAAAAAGACTGTTTCAAAACTGCAGTATCAGAAGGAAATTTCAACTATGTGAGTAGAATGCACACATCACAAAGTAGTTTCTGAGAATGCTTCTGTCTAGTTTTTATATGAAGATATTTCCTTTTTGACCTTAAGCCTCAAAGTGCTGCAATTATGCACTTTCAGATTCTTCAAAAAGAGGGTTTCAAAACTGCTCTGGCAAAAGGAAGTTTCAACGCTGTGAGTTGAATGCACACATCACAAAGAAGTTTCTGAGAATGCTTCTGTCTAATTTTTATGTGAAGATAATCCTGTTTCCCAAGAAGGCTTCAAAGCACCCTAATATCCGCCTCCAGATTCTACAGAAAGAGTGTTTCAAAACTGCTCTATGAAAAGGAAGCTTCAACTCTGTGAGTTGAATGCAGACATCATAAAGGAGTTTCTGAGAATGCTTCTGTCTTGTTTTAATGTGAAGATACTTCCTTTTCAACCGATAGCCTAAAAGAGCTCCAAATGTCCAACTGCAGATTTTTTAAAAAGAATGTTTCAAAACTGCACTATCAAAAGAAAGGTTCAGCTCTGTGAGTTGAATGCACACATCTCAAAGGAGTTTCTGAGAATGGTTCTGTCTAGTTTTTATGTGAAGGTATTCGCGATTCCAATGAAGTCTTCAAAGCGCTCCAAATATCTAAATGCGGATTCTACAAAAAGAGTGATTCAAAACTGGTCTATGAAAAGGAAGGTTCAGCTCTGTGAGTTGAACGTACACATCCCAAAAAGTTTCGGAGAATGCTTCCATTTAGTTTTTAGGTGAAGATATTACCTTTTCAACCACAGCCTTCGAAACGCTCCAAATGTCCACTTGCAGATTCTACAAGAAGATTGTTTCCAGGCGGCTCTATCAAAAGAAATGTTCCACTATGGGGGTAGAACGCACACATCACAAAAAGTTTCGGACAATGCTTCCATTTAGTTTTTAGGTGAAGATATTACCTTTTCAACCACAGCCTTCGAAACGCTCCAAATGTCCACTTGCAGATTCTACAAGAAGATTGTTTCCAGGCGGCTCTATCAAAAGAAATGTTCAACTATGGGAGTAGAATACACACATCACAAAGTCGTTTCTGAGAATGCTTCTGTCTAGTTTTTATGTGAAGATATTTCCTTTTCTACCAGAGGCCTGAAAGCGCTCCAAACATCCAATTGCAGATTCTACAAAAAGAGTGTTTCAAAACTTCTCTATCAAAAGTAAGGGTCTGCTTTGTGAGTTGAATGTACACATCAAAATGAAGTTTCTGATTATACTTCTGTCTACTTCTTATGGGAAGATATTTCCTTATCCGCAATGGTCCTCAAAGCCCTCGAAATGCCCACTTGAAGATTCTTCGGAAAGACGGTTTCAAAACTGCTCTATCAAAAGAAAGTTTCAACTTTGTGTGTAGAATGCACACATCACAAAGTCGTTTCTGAGAATGCTTCTGTCTAGTTTTTATAGGAAGATATTTCCTTTTCTACCATAAGCCTCAAAGCACTGCACATATGAACTGGCAGATTCTTTAAAAAGAGTGTTTCAAAACTGCTCTATCAAAACTGTTCTATCACCTCTGTGAGATGAATGGACACATCACAAAGATGTTTCTGAGAATGCTTCTGTCTAGGTTTTAGGTGAAGATATTCTCGTTTCCAAAGAATGCTTCAAAGAGTACTTAAATATCCGCCTGCAGATTCTACAAAAGGAGTGTTTCAAAACTGCTCTAACAAAAGAAAGGTTCAACCTGGGAGTTGAATGCACACATCACAAAGAAGTTTCTGAGAATGCTTCTGTCTAGTTTTAATGCGAAGATATTTCCTTTTCCATCATAACCTTCAAAGCGCTCCAAATGTCCATTTGCAGATTTTAGAAACAGAGTGTTTCCAGACTGCTCTATCAAAAGAAATTTTCAACTACGGGAGTAGAATGCACACAACACAAATTCGTTTCTGAGAATGCTTCTGTCTAGTTTTTATGTGAAGATATTTCCTTTTCTACCACAGGCATAAATGTGCTCCAAATATCCACTTGCCGATTCTAAAAAAAGAGTGTTTCAAAACTGCTGTATCAAAAGGAAGGTTCAATTCTGTGAGTTGAATGCACACATCACAAAGTAGTTTCTGAGAATGCTTCTGCCTAATTTTTAGATTTAAGATATTCCCATTTCCAAAGAAGGCTTCAATTTGCTCCAAATATCCACTTGCAGATTGTACAAAAAGAGGGTTTCAAAACTGCTCTATCAAAAGGAAGGTTCAACTCTGTGAGATGAATGCACACATCACAAAGTGGTTTCAGAGAATGCTTCTTTCTAGTTTTCAGGTGACGATATTCCCGTTTCCAATGTAGCACTCAAAGAGCTCCAAATATCCTCCTGCAGATTGTGCAAAAAGGGTGTTTCAAAACTGCTCTATCAAAAAGAAGCTTCAACTCTGTGAGTTGAATGCACAAATCACAAAGAAGTTTCTGGGAATACTTCTGTCTATTTTTATGTGACGATACTCCCGTTTCCAAAGAAGGCTTCAAAGCACTCCAAATATCCACCTGCAGATTATAAAGGAAGAGTTTTTCAAAACTGCTCAATCCAAAGGAAGGTTCAGCTCCGTGAGTTCAATGCCCACATCACAAAGAAGTTTCTGAGAATGCTTCTGTCTGGTTTCAAGGGGAAGATATTCCCGTTTCCAACGAAGGCTTCAAAGCGCTCCAAATATCCGCTTGCAGAGTCTACAAAAAGACTGTTTCAAAACTGCTCTATAAAAGTAAGGTTGTACTTTTTTAGTGGAATGCACCCATCAAAATGAAGTTTCTGAGAACACTTCTGTCTACTTTTCATGTGAAGATATTTCCTTATCCACAATAGTCCCCAAAGCCCTCAAAATGCCCACTTGAAGATCCCTCAAAAAGACTGTTTCAAAACTGCAGTATCAGAAGGAAATTTCAACTATGTGAGTAGAATGCACACATCACAAAGTAGTTTCTGAGAATGCTTCTGTCTAGTTTTTATATGAAGATATTTCCTCTTCGACCTTAAGCCTCAAAGTGCTGCAATTATGCACTTTCAGATTCTTCAAAAAGAGGGTTTCAAAACTGCTCTGGCAAAAGGAAGTTTCAACGCTGTGAGTTGAATGCACACATCACAAAGAAGTTTCTGAGAATGCTTCTGTCTAATTTTTATGTGAAGATAATCCTGTTTCCCAAGAAGGCTTCAAAGCACCCTAATATCCGCCTCCAGATTCTACAGAAAGAGTGTTTCAAAACTGCTCTATGGAAAGGAAGGTTCAACTCTGTGAGTTGAATGCAGACATCATAAAGGAGTTTCTGAGAATGCTTCTGTCTTGTTTTAATGTGAAGATATTTCCTTTTCAACCGATAGCCTAAAAGAGCTCCAAATGTCCAACTGCAGATTTTTTAAAAAGAATGTTTCAAAACTGCACTATCAAAAGAAAGGTTCAGCTCTGTGAGTTGAATGCACACATCTCAAAGAAGTTTCTGAGAATGGTTCTGTCTAGTTTTTATGTGAAGGTATTCGCGATTCCAATGAAGTCTTCAAAGCGCTCCAAATATCTGAATGCGGATTCTACAAAAAGAGTGATTCAAAACTGGTCTAAGAAAAGGAAGGTTCAGCTCTGTGAGTTGAACGCACACATCACAAAAAGTTTCGGAGAATGCTTCCATTTAGTTTCCAGGTGAAGATATTACCTTTTCAACCACAGCCTTCAAAACGCTCCAAATGTCCACTTGCAGATTCTAGAAGAAGATTGTTTTCAGGCGGCTCTATCAAAAGAAATGTTCAACTATGGGAGTAGAATACACACATCACAAAGTCGTTTCTGAGAATGCTTCTGTCTAGTTTTTATGTGAAGATATTTCCTTTTCTACCAGAGGCCTGAAAGCGCTCCAAATATCCAATTGCAGATTCTACAAAAAGAGTGTTTCAAAACTTCTCTATCAAAAGTAAGGGTCT
The DNA here is from genome assembly GCF_000001405.40 of Homo sapiens. Taxonomy (NCBI): domain Eukaryota; kingdom Metazoa; phylum Chordata; class Mammalia; order Primates; family Hominidae; genus Homo; species Homo sapiens. The sequence goes on along the minus strand of NC_000007.14, from coordinate 61,425,852 downwards.
GCTTTGTGAGTTGAATGTACACATCAAAATGAAGTTTCTGATTATACTTCTGTCTACTTCTTATGTGAAGATATTCCCTTATCCGCCGTGGTCCTCAAAGCCCTCGAAATGCCCACTTGAAGATTCTTCGGAAAGACTGTTTCAAAACTGCTCTATCAAAAGAAAGTTTCCACTTTGTGTGTAGAATGCACACATCACAAAGTCGTTTCTGAGAATGCTTCTGTCTAGTTTTTATAGGAAGATATTTCCTTTTCTACCATCAGCCTCAAAGCACTGCACATATGAACTGGCAGATTCTTTAAAAAGAGTGTTTCAAAACTGCTCTATCAAAACTGTTCTATCAACTCTGTGAGTTGAGTGGACACATCACAAAGACGTTTCTGAGAATGCTTCTGTCTAGGTTATAGGTGAAGATATTCTCGTTTCCAAAGAATGCTTCAAAGAGTACTTAAATATCCGCCTGCAGATTCTACAAAAGGAGTGTTTCAAAACTGCTCTAACAAAAGAAAGGTTCAACCTGGGGGTTGAATGCACACATCACAAAGAAGTTTCTGAGAATGCTTCTGTCTAGTTTTAATGCGAAGATATTCCCTTTTCCATCATAACCTTCAAAGCGCTCCAAATGTCCATTTGCAGATTTTAGAAACAGAGTGTTTCCAGACTGCTCTATCAAAAGAAATTTTCAACTATGGGAGTAGAATGCACACAACACAAATTCGTTTCTGAGAATGCTTCTGTCTAGTTTTTATGTGAAGATATTTCCTTTTCTACCATAGGCATAAACGTGCTCCAAATATCCACTGGCAGATTCTAAAAAAAGAGTGTTTCAAAACTGCTCTATCAACAGGAAGGTTCAATTCTGTGAGTTGAATGCACACATCACAAAGTAGTTTCTGAGAATGCTTCTGCCTAATTTTTAGATTTAAGATATTCCCATTTCCAAAGAAGGCTTCAATTTGCTCCAAATATCCACTTGCAGATTGTACAAAAAGAGGGTTTCAAAACTGCTCTATCAAAAGGAAGGTTCAACTCTGTGAGATGAATGCACACATCACAAAGTGGTTTCAGAGAATGCTTCTTTCTAGTTTTTAGGTGATGATATTCCCGTTTCCAATGTAGCACTCAAAGAGCTCCAAATATCCTCCTGCAGATTGTGCAAAAAGGGTGTTTCAAAACTGCTCTATCAAAAAGAAGCTTCAACTCTGTGAGTTGAATGCACAAATCACAAAGAAGTTTCTGGGAATACTTCTGTCTATTTTTATGTGACGATACTCCCGTTTCCAAAGAAGGCTTCAAAGCACTCCAAATATCCACCTGCAGATTATAAAGGAAGAGTTTTTCAAAACTGCTCAATCCAAAGGAAGGTTCAGCTCCGTGAGTTCAATGCCCACATCACAAAGAAGTTTCTGAGAATGCTTCTGTCTGGTTTCAAGGGGAAGATATTCCCGTTTCCAACGAAGGCTTCAAAGCGCTCCAAATATCCACTTGCAGAGTCTACAAAAAGACTGTTTCAAAACTGCTCTATAAAAGTAAGGTTGTACTTTGTTAGTGGAATGCACCCATCAAAATGAAGTTTCTGAGAACACTTCTGTCTACTTTTCATGTGAAGATATTTCCTTATCCATAATAGTCCCCAAAGCCCTCAAAATGCCCACTTGAAGATCCCTCAAAAAGACTGTTTCAAAACTGCAGTATCAGAAGGAAATTTCAACTATGTGAGTAGAATGCACACATCACAAAGTAGTTTCTGAGAATGCTTCTGTCTAGTTTTTATATGAAGATATTTCCTTTTCGACCTTAAGCCTCAAAGTGCTGCAATTATGCACTTTCAGATTCTTCAAAAAGAGGGTTTCAAAACTGCTCTGGCAAAAGGAAGTTTCAACGCTGTGAGTTGAATGCACACATCACAAAGAAGTTTCTGAGAATGCTTCTGTCTAATTTTTATGTGAAGATAATCCTGTTTCCCAAGAAGGCTTCAAAGCACCCTAATATCCGCCTCCAGATTCTACAGAAAGAGTGTTTCAAAACTGCTCTATGGAAAGGAAGGTTCAACTCTGTGAGTTGAATGCAGACATCATAAAGGAGTTTCTGAGAATGCTTCTGTCTTGTTTTAATGTGAAGATATTTCCTTTTCAACCGATAGCCTAAAAGAGCTCCAAATGTCCAACTGAAGATTTTTTAAAAAGAATGTTTCAAAACTGCACTATCAAAAGAAAGGTTCAGCTCTGTGAGTTGAATGCACACATCTCAAAGAAGTTTCTGAGAATGGTTCTGTCTAGTTTTTATGTGAAGGTATTCGCGATTCCAATGAAGTCTTCAAAGCGCTCCAAATATCTAAATGCGGATTCTACAAAAAGAGTGATTCAAAACTGGTCTATGAAAAGGAAGGTTCAGCTCTGTGAGTTGAACGCACACATCACAAAAAGTTTCCGACAATGCTTCCATTTAGTTTTTAGGTGAAGATATTACCTTTTCAACCACAGCCTTCGAAACGCTCCAAATGTCCACTTGCAGATTCTACAAGAAGATTGTTTCCAGGTGGCTCTATCAAAAGAAATGTTCAACTATGGGAGTAGAATACACACATCACAAAGTCGTTTCTGAGAATGCTTCTGTCTAGTTTTTATGTGAAGATATTTCCTTTTCTACCAGAGGCCTGAAAGCGCTCCAAACATCCAATTGCAGATTCTACAAAAACAGTGTTTCAAAACTTCTCTATCAAAAGTAAGGGTCTGCTTTGTGAGTTGAATGTACACATCAAAATGAAGTTTCTGATTATACTTCTGTCTACTTCTTATGGGAAGATATTTCCTTATCCGCAATGGTCCTCAAAGCCCTCGAAATGCCCACTTGAAGATTCTTCGGAAAGACTGTTTCAAAACTGCTCTATCAAAAGAAAGTTTCAACTTTGTGTGTAGAATGCACACATCACAAAGTCGTTTCTGAGAATGCTTCTGTCTAGGTTTTATATGAAGATATTTCCTTTTCTACCATAAGCCTCAAAGCACTGCACATATGAACTGGCAGATCCTTTAAAAAGTGTTTCAAAACTGCTCTATCAAAACTGTTCTATCAACTCTGTGAGATGAATGGACACATCACAAAGATGTTTCTGAGAATGCTTCTGTCTAGGTTTTAGGTGAAGATGTTCTCGTTTCCAAAGAATGCTTCAAATAGTACTTAAATATCCGCCTGCAGATTCTACAAAAGGAGTGTTTCAAAACTGCTCTAACAAAAGAAAGGTTCAACCTGGGAGTTGAATGCACACATCACAAAGAAGTTTCTGAGAGTGCTTCTGTCTAGTTTTAATGCGAAGATATTCCCTCTTCCACCATAACCTTCAAAGCGCTCCAAATGTCCATTTGCAGTTTTACAAACAGAGTGTTTCCAGACTGCTCTACCAAAAGAAATTTTCAACTCTGGGAGTAGAATGCACACATCACAAATTCGTTTCTGAGAATGCTTCTGTCTAGTTTTTATGTGAAGATATTTCCTTTTCTACCATAGGCATAAACGTGCTCCAAATATCCACTGGCAGATTCTAAAAAAAGAGTGTTTCAAAACTGCTCTATCAACAGGAAGGTTCAATTCTGTGAGTTGAATGCACACATCAGAAAGTAGTTTCTGAGAATGCTTCTGCCTAATTTTTAATTTTAAGATATTCCCATTTCCAAAGAAGGCTTCAATTTGCTCCAAATATCCACTTGCAGATTGTACATGAAGAGGGTTTCAAAACTGCTCTATCAAAAGGAAGGTTCAACTCTGTGAGATGAATGCACACATCACAAAGTGGTTTCAGAGAATGCTTCTTTCTAGTTTTTAGGTGACGATATTCCCGTTTCCAATGTAGCACTCAAAGAGCTCCAAATATCCTCCTGCAGATTGTGCAAAAAGGGTGTTTCAAAACTGCTCTATCAAAAAGAAGCTTCAACTCTGTGAGTTGAATGCACAAATCACAAAGAAGTTTCTGGGAATACTTCTGTCTATTTTTATGTGACGATACTCCCGTTTCCAAAGAAGGCTTCAAAGCACTCCAAATATCCACCTGCAGATTATAAAGGAAGAGTTTTTCAAAACTGCTCAATCCAAAGGAAGGTTCAGCTCCGTGAGTTCAATGCCCACATCACAAAGAAGTTTCTGAGAATGCTTCTGTCTGGTTTCAAGGGGAAGATATTCCCGTTTCCAACGAAGGCTTCAAAGCGCTCCAAATATCCACTTGCAGAGTCTACAAAAAGACTGTTTCAAAACTGCTCTATAAAAGTAAGGTTGTACTTTGTTACTTGAATGCACCCATCAAAATGAAGTTTCTGAGAACACTTCTGTCTACTTTTCATGTGAAGATAATTCCTTATCCACAATAGTCCCCAAAGCCCTCAAAATGCCCACTTGAAGATCCCTCAAAAAGACTGTTTCAAAACTGCAGTATCAGAAGGAAATTTCAACTATGTGAGTAGAATGCACACATCACAAAGTAGTTTCTGAGAATGCTTCTGTCTAGTTTTTATATGAAGATATTTCCTTTTCGACCTTAAGCCTCAAAGTGCTGCAATTATGCACTTTCAGATTCTTCAAAAAGAGGGTTTCAAAACTGCTCTGGCAAAAGGAAGTTTCAACGCTGTGAGTTGAATGCACACATCACAAAGAAGTTTCTGAGAATGCTTCTGTCTAATTTTTATGTGAAGATAATCCTGTTTCCCAAGAAGGCTTCAAAGCACCCTAATATCCGCCTCCAGATTCTACAGAAAGAGTGTTTCAAAACTGCTCTATGAAAAGGAAGGTTCAACTCTGTGAGTTGAATGCAGACATCATAAAGGAGTTTCTGAGAATGCTTCTGTCTTGTTTTAATGTGAAGATATTTCCTTTTCAACCGATAGCCTAAAAGAGCTCCAAATGTCCAACTGCAGATTTTTTAAAAAGAATGTTTGAAAACTGCACTATCAAAAGAAAGGTTCAGCTCTGTGAGGTGAATGCACACATCTCAAAGAAGTTTCTGAGAATGGTTCTGTCTAGTTTTTATGTGAAGGTATTCGCAATTCCAATGAAGTCTTCAAAGCGCTCCAAATATCTAAATGCGGATTCTACAAAAAGAGTGATTCAAAACTGGTCTATGAAAAGGAAGGTTCAGCTCTGTGAGTTGAACGCACACATCACAAAAAGTTTCCGACAATGCTTCCATTTAGTTTTTAGGTGAAGATGTTACCTTTTCAACCACAGCCTTCAAAACGCTCCAAATGTCCACTTGCAGATTCTACAAGAAGATTGTTTCCAGGCGGCTCTATCAAAAGAAATGTTCAACTATGGGAGTAGAATACACACATCACAAAGTCGTTTCTGAGAATGCTTCTGTCTAGTTTTTATGTGAAGATATTTCCTTTTCTACCAGAGGCCTGAAAGCGCTCCAAATATCCAATTGCAGATTCTACAAAAAGAGTGTTTCAAAACTTCTCTATCAAAAGTAAGGGTCTGCTTTGTGAGTTGAATGTACACATCAAAATGAAGTTTCTGATTATACTTCTGTCTACTTCTTATGTGAAGATATTCCCTTATCCGCAATGGTCCTCAAAGCCCTCGAAATGCCCACTTGAAGATTCTTCGGAAAGACTGTTTCAAAACTGCTCTATCAAAAGAAAGTTTCCACTTTGTGTGTAGAATGCACACATCACAAAGTCGTTTCTGAGAATGCTTCTGTCTAGTTTTTATAGGAAGATATTTCCTTTTCTACCATCAGCCTCAAAGCACTGCACATATGAACTGGCAGATTCTTCAAAAAGAGTGTTTCAAAACTGCTCTATCAAAACTGTTCTATCAACTCTGTGAGTTGAGTGGACACATCACAAAGACGTTTCTGAGAATGCTTCTGTCTAGGTTTTAGGTGAAGATATTCTCGTTTCCAAAGAATGCTTCAAAGAGTACTTAAATATCCACCTGCAGATTCTACAAAAGGAGTGTTTCAAAACTGCTCTAACAAAAGAAAGGTTCAACCTGGGAGTTGAATGCACACATCACAAAGAAGTTTCTGAGAATGCTTCTGTCTAGTTTTAATGCGAAGATATTCCCTCTTCCACCATAACCTTCAAAGCGCTCCAAATGTCCATTTGCAGATTTTACAAACAGAGTGTTTCCAGACTGCTCTACCAAAAGAAATTTTCAACTATGGGAGTAGAATGCACACATCACAAATTCGTTTCTGAGAATGCTTCTGTCTAGTTTTTATGTGAAGATATTTCCTTTTCTACCATAGGCATAAACGTGCTCCAAATATCCACTGGCAGATTCTAAAAAAAGAGTGTTTCAAAACTGCTCTATCAAAAGGAAGGTTCAATTCTGTGAGTTGAATGCACACATCACAAAGTAGTTTCTGAGAATGCTTCTGCCTAATTTTTAGATTTAAGATATTCCCATTTCCAAAGAAGGCTTCAATTTGCTCCAAATATCCACTTGCAGATTGTACAAAAAGAGGGTTTCAAAACTGCTCTATCAAAAGGAAGGTTCAACTCTGTGAGATGAATGCACACATCACAAAGTGGTTTCAGAGAATGCTTGTTTCTAGTTTTCAGGTGACGATATTCCCGTTTCCAATGTAGCACTCAAAGAGCTCCAAATATCCTCCTGCAGATTGTGCAAAAAGGGTGTTTCAAAACTGCTCTATCAAAAAGAAGCTTCAACTCTGTGAGTTGAATGCACAAATCACAAAGAAGTTTCTGGGAATACTTCTGTCTATTTTTATGTGACGATACTCCCGTTTCCAAAGAAGGCTTCAAAGCACTCCAAATATCCACCTGCAGATTATAAAGGAAGAGTTTTTCAAAACTGCTCAATCCAAAGGAAGGTTCAGCTCCGTGAGTTCAATGCCCACATCACAAAGAAGTTTCTGAGAATGCTTCTGTCTGGTTTCAAGGGGAAGATATTCCCGTTTCCAACGAAGGCTTCAAAGCGCTCCAAATATCCACTTGCAGAGTCTACAAAAAGACTGTTTCAAAACTGCTCTATAAAAGTAAGGTTGTACTTTGTTACTTGAATGCACCCATCAAAATGAAGTTTCTGAGAACACTTCTGTCTACTTTTCATGTGAAGATAATTCCTTATCCACAATAGTCCCCAAAGCCCTCAAAATGCCCACTTGAAGATCCCTCAAAAAGACTGTTTCAAAACTGCAGTATCAGAAGGAAATTTCAACTATGTGAGTAGAATGCACACATCACAAAGTAGTTTCTGAGAATGCTTCTGTCTAGTTTTTATATGAAGATATTTCCTTTTCGACCTTAAGCCTCAAAGTGCTGCAATTATGCACTTTCAGATTCTTCAAAAAGAGGGTTTCAAAACTGCTCCGGCAAAAGGAAGTTTCAACGCTGTGAGTTGAATGCACACATCACAAAGAAGTTTCTGAGAATGCTTCTGTCTAATTTTTATGTGAAGATAATCCTGTTTCCCAAGAAGGCTTCAAAGCACCCTAATATCCGCCTCCAGATTCTACAGAAAGAGTGTTTCAAAACTGCTCTATGAAAAGGAAGGTTCAACTCTGTGAGTTGAATGCAGACATCATAAAGGAGTTTCTGAGAATGCTTCTGTCTTGTTTTAATGTGAAGATATTTCCTTTTCAACCGATAGCCTAAAAGAGCTCCAAATGTCCAACTGCAGATTTTTTAAAAAGAATGTTTCAAAACTGCACTATCAAAAGAAAGGTTCAGCTCTGTGAGTTGAATGCACACATCTCAAAGAAGTTTCTGAGAATGGTTCTGTCTAGTTTTTATGTGAAGGTATTCGCGATTCCAATGAAGTCTTCAAAGCGCTCCAAATATCTAAATGCGGATCCTACAAAAAGAGTGATTCAAAACTGGTCTATGAAAAGGAAGGTTCAGCTCTGTGAGTTGAACGCACACATCACAAAAAGTTTCCGACAATGCTTCCATTTAGTTTTTAGGTGAAGATATTACCTTTTCAACCACAGCCTTCGAAACGCTCCAAATGTCCACTTGCAGATTCTACAAGAAGATTGTTTCCAGGCGGCTCTATCAAAAGAAATGTTCAACTATGGGAGTAGAATACACACATCACAAAGTCGTTTCTGAGAATGCTTCTGTCTAGTTTTTATGTGAAGATATTTCCTTTTCTACCAGAGGCCTGAAAGCGCTCCAAATATCCAATTGCAGATTCTACAAAAAGAGTGTTTCAAAACTTCTCTATCAAAAGTAAGGGTCTGCTTTGTGAGTTGAATGTACACATCAAAATGAAGTTTCTGATTATACTTCTGTCTACTTCTTATGTGAAGATATTTCCTTATCCGCAATGGTCCTCAAAGCCCTCGAAATGCCCACTTGAAGATTCTTCGGAAAGACTGTTTCAAAACTGCTCTATCAAAAGAAAGTTTCAACTTTGTGTGTAGAATGCACACATCACAAAGTCGTTTCTGAGAATGCTTCTGTCTAGTTTTTATATGAAGATATTTCCTTTTCTACCATAAGCCTCAAAGCACTGCACATATGAACTGGCAGATTCTTCAAAAAGAGTGTTTCAAAACTGCTCTATCAAAACTGTTCTATCAACTCTGTGAGTTGAGTGGACACATCACAAAGACGTTTCTGAGAATGCTTCTGTCGGGGTTTTAGGTGAAGATATTCTCGTTTCCAAAGAATGCTTCAAAGAGTACTTAAATATCCGCCTGCAGATTCTACAAAAGGAGTGTTTCAAAACTGCTCTAACAAAAGAAAGGTTCAACCTGGGAGTTGAATGCACACATCACAAAGAAGTTTCTGAGAATGCTTCTGTCTAGTTTTAATGCGAAGATATTCCCTTTTCCATCATTACCTTCAAAGCGCTCCAAATGTCCATTTGCAGATTTTAGAAACAGAGTGTTTCCAGACTGCTCTATCAAAAGAAATTTTCAACTATGGGAGTAGAATGCACACAACACAAATTCGTTTCTGAGAATGCTTCCGTCTAGTTTTTATGTGAAGATATTTCCTTTTCTACCACAGGCATAAATGTGCTCCAAATATCCACTTGCAGATTCTAAACAAAGAGTGTTTCAAAACTGCTGTATCAAAAGGAAGGTTCAATTCTGTGAGTTGAATGCACACATCACAAAGTAGTTTCTGAGAATGCTTCTGCCTAATTTTTAGATTTAAGATATTCCCATTTCCAAAGAAGGCTTCAATTTGCTCCAAATATCCACTTGCAGATTGTACAAAAAGAGGGTTTCAAAACTGCTCTATCAAAAGGAAGGTTCAACTCTGTGAGATGAATGCACACATCACAAAGTGGTTTCAGAGAATGCTTGTTTCCAGTTTTCAGGTGACGATATTCCCGTTTCCAATGTAGCACTCAAAGAGCTCCAAATATCCTCCTGCAGATTGTGCAAAAAGGGTGTTTCAAAACTGCTCTATCAAAAAGAAGCTTTAACTCTGTGAGTTGAATGCACAAATCACAAAGAAGTTTCTGGGAATACTTCTGTCTATTTTTATGTGACGATACTCCCGTTTCCAAAGAAAGGCTTCAAAGCACTCCAAATATCCACCTGCAGATTATAAAGGAAGAGTTTTTCAAAACTGCTCAATCCAAAGGAAGGTTCAGCTCCGTGAGTTCAATGCCCACATCACAAAGAAGTTTCTGAGAATGCTTCTGTCTAGTTTCAAGGGGAAGATATTCCCGTTTCCAACGAAGGCTTCAAAGCGCTCCAAATATCCACTTGCAGAGTCTACAAAAAGACTGTTTCAAAACTGCTCTATAAAAGTAAGGTTGTACTTTGTTAGTGGAATGCACCCATCAAAATGAAGTTTCTGAGAACACTTCTGTCTACTTTTCATGTGAAGATATTTCCTTATCCACAATAGTCCCCAAAGCCCTCAAAATGCCCACTTGAAGATCCCTCAAAAAGACTGTTTCAAAACTGCAGTATCAGAAGGAAATTTCAACTATGTGAGTAGAATGCACACATCACAAAGTAGTTTCTGAGAATGCTTCTGTCTAGTTTTTATATGAAGATATTTCCTTTTCGACCTTAAGCCTCAAAGTGCTGCAATTATGCACTTTCAGATTCCTCAAAAAGAGGGTTTCAAAACTGCTCTGGCAAAAGGAAGTTTCAACGCTGTGAGTTGAATGCACACATCACAAAGAAGTTTCTGAGAATGTTTCTGTCTAATTTTTATGTGAAGATAATCCTGTTTCCCAAGAAGGCTTCAAAGCACCCTAATATCCGCCTCCAGATTCTACAGAAAGAGTGTTTCAAAACTGCTCTATGGAAAGGAAGGTTCAACTCTGTGAGTTGAATGCAGACATCATAAAGGAGTTTCTGAGAATGCTTCTGTCTTGTTTTAATGTGAAGATATTTCCTTTTCAACCGATAGCCTAAAAGAGCTCCAAATGTCCAACTGCAGATTTTTTAAAAAGAATGTTTCAAAACTGCACTATCAAAAGAAAGGTTCAGCTCTGTGAGTTGAATGCACACATCTCAAAGAAGTTTCTGAGAATGGTTCTGTCTAGTTTTTATGTGAAGGTATTCGCGATTCCAATGAAGTCTTCAAAGCGCTCCAAATCTCTAAATGTGGATTCTACAAAAAGAGTGATTCAAAACTGGTCTATGAAAAGGAAGGTTCAGCTCTGTGAGTTGAACGCACACATCACAAAACGTTTCGGACAATGCTTCCATTTAGTTTTTAGGTGAAGATATTACCTTTTCAACCACAGCCTTCAAAACGCTCCAAATGTCCACTTGCAGATTCTAAAAGAAGATTGTTTCCAGGCGGCTCTATCAAAAGAAATGTTCAACTATGGGAGTAGAATACATACATCACAAAGTCGTTTCTGAAAATGCTTCTGTCTAGTTTTTATGTGAAGATATTTCCTTTTCTACCAGAGGCCTGAAAGCGCTCCAAAGATCCAATTGCAGATTCTACAAAAAGAGTGTTTCAAAACTTCTCTATCAAAAGTAAGGGTCTGCTTTGTGAGTTGAATGTACACATCAAAATGAAGTTTCTGATTATACTTCTGTCTACTTCTTATGGGAAGATATTTCCTTATCCGCAATGGTCCTCAAAGCCCTCGAAATGCCCACTTGAAGATTCTTCGGAAAGACGGTTTCAAAACTGCTCTATCAAAAGGAAGTTTCAACTTTGTGTGTAGAATGCACACATCACAAAGTCGTTTCTGAGAATGCTTCTGTCTAGTTTTTATATGAAGATATTTCCTTTTCTACCATAAGCCTCAAAGCACTGCACATATGAACTGGCAGATTCTTTAAAAAGAGTGTTTCAAAACTGCTCTATCAAAACTGTTCTATCAACTCTGTGAGATGAATGGACACATCACAAAGATGTTTCTGAGAATGCTTCCGTCTAGGTTTTAGGTGAAGATATTCTCGTTTCCAAAGAATGCTTCAAATAGTACTTAAATATCCGCCTGCAGATTCTACAAAAGGAGTGTTTCAAAACTGCTCTAACAAAAGAAAGGTTCAACCTGGGAGTTGAATGCACACATCACAAAGAAGTTTCTGAGAATGCTTCTGTCTAGTTTTAATGCGAAGATATTTCCTTTTCCACCATAACCTTCAAAGCGCTCCAAATGTCCATTTGCAGATTTTACAAACAGAGTGTTTCCAGACTGCTCTATCAAAAGAAATTTTCAACTATGGGAGTAGAATGCACACATCACAAATGCGTTTCTGAGAATGCTTCTGTCTAGTTTTTATGTGAAGATATTTCCTTTTCTAACGTAGGCATACATGTGCTCCAAATATCCACTTGCAGATTCTAAAAAAAGAGTGTTTCAAAACTGCTCCATCAAAAGGAAGGTTCAATTCTGTGAGTTGAATGCACACATCACAAAGTAGTTTCTGAGAATGCTTCTGCCTAATTTTTAGATTTAAGATTTCCCATTTCCAAAGAAGGCTTCAATTTGCTCCAAATATCCACTTGCAGATTGTACAAAAAGAGGGTTTCAAAACTGCTCTATCAAAAGGAAGGTTCAACTCTGTGAGATGAATGCACACATCACAAAGTGGTTTCACAGAATGCTTCTTTCTAGTTTTTAGGTGACGATATTCCCGTTTCCAATGTAGCACTCAAAGAGCTCCAAATATCCTCCTGCAGATTGTGCAAAAAGGGTGTTTCAAAACTGCTCTATCAAAAAGAAGCTTCAACTCTGTGAGTTGAATGCACAAATCACAAAGAAGTTTCTGGGAATACTTCTGTCTATTTTTATGTGACGATACTCCCGTTTCCAAAGAAGGCTTCAAAGCACTCCAAATATCCACCTGCAGATTATAAAGGAAGAGTTTTTCAAAACTGCTCAATCCAAAGGAAGGTTCAGATCCGTGAGTTCAATGCCCACATCACAAAGAAGTTTCTGAGAATGCTTCTGTCTAGTTTCAAGGGGAAGATATTCCCGTTTCCAACGAAGGCTTCAAAGCGCTCCAAATATCCACTTGCAGAGTCTACAAAAAGACTGTTTCAAAACTGCTCTATAAAAGTAAGGTTGTACTTTGTTAGTGGAATGCACCCATCAAAATGAAGTTTCTGAGAACACTTCTGTCTACTTTTCATGTGAAGATATTTCCTTATCCACAATAGTCCCCAAAGCCCTCAAAATGCCCACTTGAAGATCCCTCAAAAAGACTGTTTCAAAACTGCAGTATCAGAAGGAAATTTCAACTATGTGAGTAGAATGCACACATCACAAAGTAGTTTCTGAGAATGCTTCTGTCTAGTTTTTATATGAAGATATTTCCTTTTCTACCTTAAGCCTCAAAGTGCTGCAATTACGCACTTTCAGATTCTTCAAAAAGAGGGTTTCAAAACTGCTCTAGCAAAAGGAAGTTTCAACGCTGTGAGTTGAATGCACACATCACAAAGAAGTTTCTGAGAATGCTTCTGTCTAATTTTTATGTGAAGATAATCCTGTTTCCCAAGAAGGCTTCAAAGCACCCTAATATCCGCCTCCAGATTCTACAGAAAGAGTGTTTCAAAACTGCTCTATCAAAAGGAAGGTTCAACTCTGTGAGTTGAATGCAGACATCATAAAGGAGTTTCTGAGAATGCTTCTGTCTTGTTTTAATGTGAAGATATTTCCTTTTCAACCGATAGCCTAAAAGAGCTCCAAATGTCCAACTGCAGATTTTTTAAAAAGAATGTTTCAAAACTGCACTATCAAAAGAAAGGTTCAGCTCTGTGAGTTGAATGCACACATCTCAAAGAAGTTTCTGAGAATGGTTCTGTCTAGTTTTTATGTGAAGGTATTCGCGATTCCAATGAAGTCTTCAAAGCGCTCCAAATATCTAAATGCGGATTCTACAAAAAGAGTGATTCAAAACTGGTCTATGAAAAGGAAGGTTCAGCTCCGTGAGTTGAACGCACACATCACAAAAAGTTTCGGACAAAGCTTCCATTTAGTTTTTAGGTGAAGATATTACCTTTTCAACCACAGCCTTCAAAACGCTCCAAATGTCCACTTGCAGATTCTACAAGAAGATTGTTTCCAGGCGGCTCTATCAAAAGAAATGTTCAACTATGGGAGTAGAATACACACATCACAAAGTCGTTTCTGAAAATGCTTCTGTCTAGTTTTTATGTGAAGATATTTCCTTTTCTACCAGAGGCCTGAAAGCGCTCCAAATATCCAATTGCAGATTCTACAAAAAGAGTGTTTCAAAACTTCTCTATCAAAAGTAAGGGTCTGCTTTGTGAGTTGAATGTACACATCAAAATGAAGTTTCTGATTATACTTCTGTCTACTTCTTATGTGAAGATATTTCCTTATCCGCAATGGTCCTCAAAGCCCTCGAAATGCCCACTTGAAGATTCTTCGGAAAGACTGTTTCAAAACTGCTCTATCAAAAGAAAGTTTCAACTTTGTGTGTAGAATGCACACATCACAAAGTCGTTTCTGAGAATGCTTCTGTCTAGTTTTTATAGAAAGATATTTCCTTTTCTACCATCAGCCTCAAAGCACTGCACATATGAACTGGCAGATTCTTCAAAAAGAGTGTTTCAAAACTGCTCTATCAAAACTGTTCTATCAACTCTGTGAGTTGAGTGGACACATCACAAAGACGTTTCTGAGAATGCTTCTGTCTAGGTTTTAGGTGAAGATGTTCTCGTTTCCAAAGAATGCTTCAAATAGTACTTAAATATCCGCCTGCAGATTCTACAAAAGGAGTGTTTCAAAACTGCTCTAACAAAAGAAAGGTTCAACCTGGGAGTTGAATGCACACATCACAAAGAAGTTTCTGAGAGTGCTTCTGTCTAGTTTTAATGCGAAGATATTCCCTCCTCCACCATAACCTTCAAAGCGCTCCAAATGTCCATTTGCAGATTTTACAAACAGAGTGTTTCCAGACTGCTCTACCAAAAGAAATTTTCAACTATGGGAGTAGAATGCACACATCACAAATTCGTTTCTGAGAATGCTTCTGTCTAGTTTTTATGTGAAGATATTTCCTTTTCTACCATAGGCATAAACGTGCTCCAAATATCCACTGGCAGATTCTAAAAAAAGAGTGTTTCAAAACTGCTCTATCAAAAGGAAGGTTCAATTCTGTGAGTTGAATGCACACATCACAAAGTAGTTTCTGAGAATGCTTCTGCCTAATTTTTAATTTTAAGATATTCCCATTTCCAAAGAAGGCTTCAATTTGCTCCAAATATCCACTTGCAGATTGTACATGAAGAGGGTTTCAAAACTGCTCTATCAAAAGGAAGGTTCAACTCTGTGAGATGAATGCACACATCACAAAGTGGTTTCAGAGAATGCTTGTTTCTAGTTTTCAGGTGACGATATTCCCGTTTCCAATGTAGCACTCAAAGAGCTCCAAATATCCTCCTGCAGATTGTGCAAAAAGGGTGTTTCAAAACTGCTCTATCAAAAAGAAGCTTCAACTCTGTGAGTTGAATGCACAAATCACAAAGAAGTTTCTGGGAATACTTCTGTCTATTTTTATGTGACGATACTCCCGTTTCCAAAGAAGGCTTCAAAGCACTCCAAATATCCACCTGCAGATTATAAAGGAAGAGTTTTTCAAAACTGCTCAATCCAAAGGAAGGTTCAGCTCCGTGAGTTCAATGCCCACATCACAAAGAAGTTTCTGAGAATGCTTCTGTCTAGTTTCAAGGGGAAGATATTCCCGTTTCCAACGAAGGCTTCAAAGCGCTCCAAATATCCACTTGCAGAGTCTACAAAAAGACTGTTTCAAAACTGCTCTATAAAAGTAAGGTTGTACCTTGTTAGTTGAATGCACCCATCAAAATGAAGTTTCTGAGAACACTTCTGTCTACTTTTCATGTGAAGATATTTCCTTATCCACAATAGTCCCCAAAGCCCTCAAAATGCCCACTGGAAGATTCCTCAAAAAGACGGTTTCAAAACTGCAGTATCAGAAGGAAATTTCAACTATGTGAGTAGAATGCACACATCACAAAGTAGTTTCTGAGAATGCTTCTGTCTAGTTTTTATATGAAGATATTTCCTTTTCTACCTTAAGCCTCAAAGTGCTGCAATTATGCACTTTCAGATTCTTCAAAAAGAGGGTTTCAAAACTGCTCTAGCAAAAGGAAGTTTCAACGCTGTGAGTTGAATGCACACATCACAAAGAAGTTTCTGAGAATGCTTCTGTCTAATTTTTATGTGAAGATAATCCTGTTTCCCAAGAAGGCTTCAAAGCACCCTAATATCCGCCTCCAGATTCTACAGAAAGAGTGTTTCAAAACTGCTCTATCAAAAGGAAGGTTCAACTCTGTGAGTTGAATGCAGACATCATAAAGGAGTTTCTGAGAATGCTTCCGTCTTGTTTTAATGTGAAGATATT
This sequence comes from Homo sapiens, assembly GCF_000001405.40. Lineage (NCBI taxonomy): Eukaryota > Metazoa > Chordata > Mammalia > Primates > Hominidae > Homo > Homo sapiens. The sequence continues at coordinate 61,410,059 of NC_000007.14, read as the reverse complement.
TCCTTTTCAACCGATAGCCTAAAAGAGCTCCAAATGTCCAACTGCAGATTTTTTAAAAAGAATGTTTCAAAACTGCACTATCAAAAGAAAGGTTCAGCTCCGTGAGTTGAATGCACACATCTCAAAGAAGTTTCTGAGAATGCTTCTGTCTAGTTTTTATGTGAAGATATTCGCGATTCCAATGAAGTCTTCAAAGCGCTCCAAATATCTAAATGCGGATCCTACAAAAAGAGTGATTCAAAACTGGTCTATGAAAAGGAAGGTTCAGCTCTGTGAGTTGAACGCACACATCACAGAAAGTTTCTGAGAATGCTTCCATTTAGTTTTTAGGTGAAGATATTACCTTTTCAACCACAGCCTTCAAAACGCTCCAAATGTCCACTTGCAGATTCTACAAGAAGATTGCTTCCAGGCGGCTCTATCAAAAGAAATGTTCAACTATGGGAGTAGAATACACACATCACAAAGTCGTTTCTGAGAATGCTTCTGTCTAGTTTTTATGTGAAGATATTTCCTTTTCTACCAGAGGCCTGAAAGCGCTCCAAATATCCAATTGCAGATTCTACAACAAGAGTGTTTCAAAACTTCTCTATCAAAAGTAAGGGTCTGCTTTGTGAGTTGAATGTACACATCAAAATGAAGTTTCTGATTATACTTCTGTCTACTTCTTATGGGAAGATATTTCCTTATCCGCAATGGTCCTCAAAGCCCTCGAAATGCCCACTTGAAGATTCTTCGGAAAGACTGTTTCAAAACTGCTCTATCAAAAGAAAGTTTCAACTTTGTGTATAGAATGCACACATCACAAACTCGTTTCTGAGAATGCTTCTGTCTAGTTTTTATATGAAGATATTTCCTTTTCTACCATAAGCCTCAAAGCACTGCACATATGAACTGGCAGATTCTTTAAAAAGGGTGTTTTAAAACTGCTCTATCAAAACTGTTCTATCAACTCTGTGAGATGAATGGACACATCACAAAGATGTTTCTGAGAATGCTTCTGTCTAGGTTTTAGGTGAAGATATTCTCGTTTCCAAAGAATGCTTCAAAGAGTACTTAAATATCCGCCTGCAGATTCTACAAAAGGAGTGTTTCAAAACTGCTCTAACAAAAGAAAGGTTCAACCTGGGAGTTGAATGCACACATCACAAAGAAGTTTCTGAGAATGCTTCTGTCTAGTTTTAATGCGAAGATATTCCCTTTTCCATCATAACCTTCAAAGCGCTCCAAATGTCCATTTGCAGATTTTAGAAACAGAGTGTTTCCAGACTGCTCTATCAAAAGAAATTTTCAACTATGGGAGTAGAATGCACACAACACAAATTCGTTTCTGAGAATGCTTCTGTCTAGTTTTTATGTGAAGATATTTCCTTTTCTACCATAGGCATAAATGTGCTCCAAATATCCACTGGCAGATTCTAAAAAAAGAGTGTTTCAAAACTGCTCTATCAAAAGGAAGGTTCAATTCTGTGAGTTGAATGCACACATCACAAATTCGTTTCTGAGAATGCTTCTGCCTAATTTTTAATTTTAAGATATTCCCATTTCCAAAGAAGGCTTCAATTTGCTCCAAATATCCACTTGCAGATTGTACAAAAAGAGGGTTTCAAAACTGCTCTATCAAAAGGAAGGTTCAACTCTGTGAGATGAATGCACACATCACAAAGTGGTTTCAGAGAATGCTTGTTTCTAGTTTTCAGGTGACGATATTCCCGTTTCCAATGTAGCACTCAAAGAGCTCCAAATATCCTCCTGCAGATTGTGCAAAAAGGGTGTTTCAAAACTGCTCTATCAAAAAGAAGCTTCAACTCTGTGAGTTGAATGCACAAATCACAAAGAAGTTTCTGGGAATACTTCTGTCTATTTTTATGTGACGATACTCCCGTTTCCAAAGAAGGCTTCAAAGCACTCCAAATATCCACCTGCAGATTATAAAGGAAGAGTTTTTCAAAACTGCTCAATCCAAAGGAAGGTTCAGCTCCGTGAGTTCAATGCCCACATCACAAAGAAGTTTCTGAGAATGCTTCTGTCTAGTTTCAAGGGGAAGATATTCCCGTTTCCAACGAAGGCTTCAAAGCGCTCCAAATATCCACTTGCAGAGTCTACAAAAAGACTGTTTCAAAACTGCTCTATAAAAGTAAGGTTGTACCTTGTTAGTTGAATGCACCCATCAAAATGAAGTTTCTGAGAACACTTCTGTCTACTTTTCATGTGAAGATATTTCCTTATCCACAATAGTCCCCAAAGCCCTCAAAATGCCCACCCGAAGATTCCTCAAAAAGACGGTTTCAAAACTGCAGTATCAGAAGGAAATTTCAACTATGTGAGTAGAATGCACACATCACAAAGTAGTTTCTGAGAATGCTTCTGTCTAGTTTTTATATGAAGATATTTCCTTTTCGACCTTAAGCCTCAAAGTGCTGCAATTTTGCACTTTCAGATTCTTCAAAAAGAGGGTTTCAAAACTGCTCTGGCAAAAGGAAGTTTCAACGCTGTGAGTTGAATGCACACATCACAAAGAAGTTTCTGAGAATGCTTCTGTCTAATTTTTATGTGAAGATAATCCTGTTTCCCAAGAAGGCTTCAAAGCACCCTAATATCCTCCTCCAGATTCTACAGAAAGAGTGTTTCAAAACTGCTCTATCAAAAGGAAGGTTGAACTCTGTGAGTTGAATGCAGACATCATAAAGGAGTTTCTGAGAATGCTTCTGTCTTGTTTTAATGTGAAGATATTTCCTTTTCAACCGATAGCCTAAAAGAGCTCCAAATGTCCAACTGCAGATTTTTTAAAAAGAATGTTTCAAAACTGCACTATCAAAAGAAAGGTTCAGTTCTGTGAGTTGAATGCACACATCTCAAAGAAGTTTCTGAGAATGGTTCTGTCTAGTTTTTATGTGAAGATATTCGCGATTCCAATGAAGTCTTCAATGCGCTCCAAATATCTAAATGCGGATTCTACAAAAAGAGTGATTCAAAACTGGTCTATGAAAAGGAAGGTTCAGCTCTGTGAGTTGAACGCACACATCACAAAAAGTTTCGGAGAATGCTCCCATTTAGTTTTTAGGTGAAGATATTACCTTTTCAACCACAGCCTTCAAAACGCTCCAAATGTCCACTTGCAGATTCTACAAGAAGATTGTTTCCAGGCAGCTCTATCAAAAGAAATGTTCAACTATGGGAGTAGAATACACACATCACAAAGTCGTTTCTGAGAATGCTTCTGTCTAGTTTTTATGTGAAGATATTTCCTTTTCTACCAGAGGCCTGAAAGCGCTCCAAATATCCAATTGCAGATTCTACAAAAAGAGTGTTTCAAAACTTCTCTATCAAAAGTAAGGGTCTGCTTTGTGAGTTGAATGTACACATCAAAATGAAGTTTCTGATTATACTTCTGTCTACTTCTTATGTGAAGATATTTCCTTATCCGCAATGGTCCTCAAAGCCCTCGAAATGCCCACTTGAAGATTCTTCGGAAAGACTGTTTCAAAACTGCTCTATCAAAAGAAAGTTTCCACTTTGTGTGTAGAATGCACACATCACAAAGTCGTTTCTGAGAATGCTTCTGTCTAGTTTTTATAGGAAGATATTTCCTTTTCTACCATCAGCCTCAAAGCACTGCACATATGAACTGGCAGATTCTTCAAAAAGAGTGTTTCAAAACTGCTCTATCAAAACTGTTCTATCAACTGTGTGAGTTGAGTGGACACATCACAAAGACGTTTCTGAGAATGCTTCTGTCTAGGTTTTAGGTGAAGATGTTCTCGTTTCCAAAGAATGCTTCAAATAGTACTTAAATATCCGCCTGCAGATTCTACAAAAGGAGTGTTTCAAAACTGCTCTAACAAAAGAAAGGTTCAACCTGGGAGTTGAATGCACACATCACAAAGAAGTTTCTGAGAGTGCTTCTGTCTAGTTTTAATGCGAAGATATTCCCTCCTCCACCATAACCTTCAAAGCGCTCCAAATGTCCATTTGCAGATTTTACAAACAGAGTGTTTCCAGACTGCTCTACCAAAAGAAATTTTCAACTATGGGAGTAGAATGCACACATCACAAATTCGTTTCTGAGAATGCTTCTGTCTAGTTTTTATGTGAAGATATTTCCTTTTCTACCATAGGCATAAACGTGCTCCAAATATCCACTGGCAGATTCTAAAAAAAGAGTGTTTCAAAACTGCTCTATCAAAAGCAAGGTTCAATTCTGTGAGTTGAATGCACACATCACAAAGTAGTTTCTGAGAATGCTCTGCCTAATTTTTAATTTTAAGATATTCCCATTTCCAAAGAAGGCTTCAATTTGCTCCAAATATCCACTTGCAGATTGTACAAAAAGAGGGTTTCAAAACTGCTCTATCAAAAGGAAGGTTCAACACTGTGAGATGAATGCACACATCACAAAGTGGTTTCAGAGAATGCTTTCTTTCTAGTTTTTAGGTGACGATATTCCCGTTTCCAATGTAGCACTCAAAGAGCTCCAAATATCCTCCTGCAGATTGTGCAAAAAGGGTGTTTCAAAACTGCTCTATCAAAAAGAAGCTTCAACTCTGTGAGTTGAATGCACAAATCACAAAGAAGTTTCTGGGAATACTTCTGTCTATTTTTATGTGACGATACTCCCGTTTCCAAAGAAGGCTTCAAAGCACTCCAAATATCCACCTGCAGATTATAAAGGAAGAGTTTTTCAAAACTGCTCAATCCAAAGGAAGGTTCAGCTCCGTGAGTTCAATGCCCACATCACAAAGAAGTTTCTGAGAATGCTTCTGTCTGGTTTCAAGGGGAAGATATTCCCGTTTCCAACGAAGGCTTCAAAGCGCTCCAAATATCCGCTTGCAGAGTCTACAAAAAGACTGTTTCAAAACTGCTCTATAAAAGTAAGGTTGTACTTTTTTAGTGGAATGCACCCATCAAAATGAAGTTTCTGAGAACACTTCTGTCTACTTTTCATGTGAAGATATTTCCTTATCCACAATAGTCCCCAAAGCCCTCAAAATGCCCACTTGAAGATCCCTCAAAAAGACTGTTTCAAAACTGCAGTATCAGAAGGAAATTTCAACTATGTGAGTAGAATGCACACATCACAAAGTAGTTTCTGAGAATGCTTCTGTCTAGCTTTTATATGAAGATATTTCCTTTTCGACCTTAAGCCTCAAAGTGCTGCAATTATGCACTTTCAGATTCTTCAAAAAGAGGGTTTCAAAACTGCTCTGGCAAAAGGAAGTTTCAACGCTGTGAGTTGAATGCACACATCACAAAGAAGTTTCTGAGAATGCTTCTGTCTAATTTTTATGTGAAGATAATCCTGTTTCCCAAGAAGGCTTCAAAGCACCCTAATATCCGCCTCCAGATTCTACAGAAAGAGTGTTTCAAAACTGCTCTATGAAAAGGAAGGTTCAACTCTGTGAGATGAATGCAGACATCATAAAGGAGTTTCTGAGAATGCTTCCGTCTTGTTTTAATGTGAAGATATTTCCTTTTCAACCGATAGCCTTAAAGAGCTCCAAATGTCCAACTGCAGATTTTTTAAAAAGAATGTTTCAAAACTGCACTATCAAAAGAAAGGTTCAGCTCCGTGAGTTGAATGCACACATCTCAAAGAAGTTTCTGAGAATGCTTCTGTCTAGTTTTTATGTGAAGGTATTCGCGATTCCAATGAAGTCTTCAAAGCGCTCCAAATATCTAAATGCGGATCCTACAAAAAGAGTGATTCAAAACTGGTCTATGAAAAGGAAGGTTCAGCTCTGTGAGTTGAACACACACATCACAAAAAGTTTCCGACAATGCTTCCATTTAGTTTTTAGGTGAAGATATTACCTTTTCAACCACAGCCTTCGAAACGCTCAAAATGTCCACTTGCAGATTGTACAAGAAGATTGTTTCCAGGCGGCTCTATCAAAAGAAATGTTCAACTATGGGAGTAGAATACACACATCACAAAGTCGTTTCTGAGAATGCTTCTGTCTAGTTTTTATGTGAAGATATTTCCTTTTCTACCAGAGGCCTGAAAGCGCTCCAAATATCCAATTGCAGATTCTACAAAAAGAGTGTTTCAAAACTTCTCTATCAAAAGTAAGGGTCTGCTTTGTGAGTTGAATGTACACATCAAAATGAAGTTTCTGATTATACTTCTGTCTACTTCTTATGGGAAGATATTTCCTTATCCGCAATGGTCCTCAAAGCCCTCGAAATGCCCACTTGAATATTCTTCGGAAAGACGGTTTCAAAACTGCTCTATCAAAAGAAAGTTTCAACTTTGTGTGTAGAATGCACACATCACAAAGTCGTTTCTGAGAATGCTTCTGTCTAGTTTTTATAGGAAGATATTTCCTTTTCTACCATAAGCCTCAAAGCACTGCACATATGAACTGGCAGATTCTTTAAAAAGAGTGTTTCAAAACTGCTCTATCAAAACTGTTCTATCAACTCTGTGAGATGAATGGACACATCACAAAGATGTTTCTGAGAATGCTTCTGTCTAGGTTTTAGGTGAAGATATTCTCGTTTCCAAAGAATGCTTCAAAGAGTACTTAAATATCCGCCTGCAGATTCTACAAAAGGAGTGTTTCAAAACTGCTCTAACAAAAGAAAGGTTCAACCTGGGAGTTGAATGCACACATCACAAAGAAGTTTCTGAGAATGCTTCTGTCTAGTTTTAATGCGAAGATATTCCCTTTTCCATCATAACCTTCAAAGCGCACCAAATGTCCATTTGCAGATTTTAGAAACAGAGTGGTTCCAGACTATTCTATCAAAAGAAATTTTCAACTATGGGAGTAGAATGCACACAACACAAATTCGTTTCTGAGAATGCTTCTGTCTAGTTTTTATGTGAAGATATTTCCTTTTCTACCACAGGCATAAATGTGCTCCAAATATCCACTTGCAGATTCTGAAAAAAGAGTGTTTCAAAACTGCTGTATCAAAAGGAAGGTTCAATTCTGTGAGTTGAATGCACACATCACAAAGTAGTTTCTGAGAATGCTTCTGCCTAATTTTTAGATTTAAGATATTCCAATTTCCAAAGAAGGCTTCAATTTGCTCCAAATATCCACTTGCAGATTGTACAAAAAGAGGGTTTCAAAACTGCTCTATCAAAAGGAAGGTTCAACTCTGTGAGATGAATGCACACATCACAAAGTGGTTTCAGAGAATGCTTCTTTCTAGTTTTTAGGTGACGATATTCCCGTTTCCAATGTAGCACTCAAAGAGCTCCAAATATCCTCCTGCAGATTGTGCAAAAAGGGTGTTTCAAAACTGCTCTATCAAAAAGAAGCTTCAACTCTGTGAGTTGAATGCACAAATCACAAAGAAGTTTCTGGGAATACTTCTGTCTATTTTTATGTGACGATACTCCCGTTTCCAAAGAAGGCTTCAAAGCACTCCAAATATCCACCTGCAGATTATAAAGGAAGAGTTTTTCAAAACTGCTCAATCCAAAGGAAGGTTCAGCTCCGTGAGTTCAATGCCCACATCACAAAGAAGTTTCTGAGAATGCTTCTGTCTGGTTTCAAGGGGAAGATATTCCCGTTTCCAACGAAGGCTTCAAAGCGCTCCAAATATCCACTTGCAGAGTCTACAAAAAGACTGTTTCAAAACTGCTCTATAAAAGTAAGGTTGTACTTTGTTACTTGAATGCACCCATCAAAATGAAGTTTCTGAGAACACTTCTGTCTACTTTTCATGTGAAGATATTTCCTTATCCACAATAGTCCCCAAAGCCCTCAAAATGCCCACTGGAAGATTCCTCAAAAAGACGGTTTCAATACTGCAGTATCAGAAGGAAATTTCAACTATGTGAGTAGAATGCACACATCACAAAGTAGTTTCTGAGAATGCTTCTGTCTAGTTTTTATATGAAGATATTTCCTTTTCTACCTTAAGCCTCAAAGTGCTGCAATGATGCACTTTCAGATTCTTCAAAAAGAGGGTTTCAAAACTGCTCTGGCAAAAGGAAGTTTCAACGCTGTGAGTGGAATGCACACATCACAAAGAAGTTTCTGAGAATGCTTCTGTCTAATTTTTATGTGAAGATAATCCTGTTTCCCAAGAAGGCTTCAAAGCACCCTAATATCCGCCTCCAGATTCTACAGAAAGAGTGTTTCAAAACTGCTCTATCAAAAGGAAGGTTCAACTCTGTGAGTTGAATGCAGACATCATAAAGGAGTTTCTGAGAATGCTTCTGTCTTGTTTTAATGTGAAGATATTTCCTTTTCAACCGATAGCCTAAAAGAGCTCCAAATGTCCAACTGCAGATTTTTTAAAAAGAATGTTTCAAAACTGCACTATCAAAAGAAAGGTTCAGCTCTGTGAGTTGAATGCACACATCTCAAAGAAGTTTCTGAGAATGGTTCTGTCTAGTTTTTATGTGAAGGTATTCGCGATTCCAATGAAGTCTTCAAAGCGCTCCAAATATCTAAATGAGGATTCTAGAAAAAGAGTGATTCAAAACTGGTCTAAGAAAAGGAAGGTTCAGCTCTGTGAGTTGGACGCACACATCACAAAAAGTTTCGGAGAATGCTTCCATTTAGTTTTTAGGTGAAGATATTACCTTTTCAACCACAGCCTTCAAAACGCTCCAAATGTCCACTTGCAGATTCTACAAGAAGATTGTTTCCAGGCGGCTCTATCAAAAGAAATGTTCAACTATGGGAGTAGAATACACACATCACAAAGTCGTTTCTGAGAATGCTTCTGTCTAGTTTTTATGTGAAGATATTTCCTTTTCTACCAGAGGCCTGAAAGCGCTCCAAATATCCAATTGCAGATTCTACAAAAAGAGTGTTTCAAAACTTCTCTATCAAAAGTAAGGGTCTGCTTTGTGAGTTGAATGTACACATCAAAATGAAGTTTCTGATTATACTTCTGTCTACTTCTTATGGGAAGATATTTCCTTATCCGCAATGGTCCTCAAAGCCCTCGAAATGCCCACTTGAAGATTCTTCGGAAAGACTGTTTCAAAACTGCTCTATCAAAAGAAAGTTTCAACATTGTGTGTAGAATGCACACATCACAAAGTCGTTTCTGAGAATGCTTCTGTCTAGTTTTTATAGGAAGATATTTCCTTTTCTACCATAAGCCCCAAATCACTGCACATATGAACTGGCAGATTCTTTAAAAAGAGTGTTTCAAAACTGCTCTATCAAAACTGTTCTATCAACTCTGTGAGATGAATGGACACATCACAAAGATGTTTCTGAGAATGCTTCTGTCTAGGTTTTAGGTGAAGATATTCTCGTTTCCAAAGAATGCTTCAAAGAGTACTTAAATATCCGCCTGCAGATTCTACAAAAGGAGTGTTTCAAAACTGCTCTAACAAAAGAAAGGTTCAACCTGGGAGTTGAATGCACACATCACAAAGAAGTTTCTGAGAATGCTTCTGTCTAGTTTTAATGCGAAGATATTCCCTTTTCCATCATAACCTTCAAAGCGCTCCAAATGTCCATTTGCAGATTTTAGAAACAGAGTGTCTCCAGACTGCTCTATCAAAAGAAATATTCAACTATGGGAGTAGAATGCACACAACACAAATTCGTTTCTGAGAATGCTTCTGTCTAGTTTTTATGTGAAGATATTTCCTTTTCTACCACAGGCATAAATGTGCTCCAAATATCCACTTGCAGATTCTAAACAAAGAGTGTTTCAAAACTGCTGTATCAAAAGGAAGGTTCAATTCTGTGAGTTGAATGCACACATCACAAAGTAGTTTCTGAGAATGCTTCTGCCTAATTTTTAGTTATAAGATATTCCCATTTCCAAAGAAGGCTTCAATTTGCTCCAAATATCCACTTGCAGATTGTACAAAAAGAGGGTTTCAAAACTGCTCTATCAAAAGGAAGGTTCAACTCTGTGAGATGAATGCACACATCACAAAGTGGTTTCAGAGAATGCTTCTTTCTAGTTTTTAGGTGACGATATTCCCGTTTCCAATGTAGCACTCAAAGAGCTCCAAATATCCTCCTGCAGATTGTGCAAAAAGGGTGTTTCAAAACTGCTCTATCAAAAAGAAGCTTCAACTCTGTGAGTTGAATGCACAAATCACAAAGAAGTTTCTGGGAATACTTCTGTCTATTTTTATGTGACGATACTCCCGTTTCCAAAGAAGGATTCAAAGCACTCCAAATATCCACCTGCAGATTATAAAGGAAGAGTTTTTCAAAACTGCTCAATCCAAAGGAAGGTTCAGCTCCGTGAGTTCAATGCCCACATCACAAAGAAGTTTCTGAGAATGCTTCTGTCTAGTTTCAATGGGAAGATATTCCCGTTTCCAACGAAGGCTTCAAAGCGCTCCAAATATCCACTTGCAGAGTCTACAAAAAGACTGTTTCAAAACTGCTCTATAAAAGTAAGGTTGTACTTTGTTAGTGGAATGCACCCATCAAAATGAAGTTTCTGAGAACACTTCTGTCTACTTTTCATGTGAAGATATTTCCTTATCCACAATAGTCCCCAAAGCCCTCAAAATGCCCACTGGAAGATTCCTCAAAAAGACGGTTTCAATACTGCAGTATCAGAAGGAAATTTCAACTATGTGAGTAGAATGCACACATCACAAAGTAGTTTCTGAGAATGCTTCTGTCTAGTTTTTATATGAAGATATTTCCTTTTCTACCTTAAGCCTCAAAGTGCTGCAATTATGCACTTTCAGATTCTTCAAAAAGAGGGTTTCAAAACTGCTCTAGCAAAAGGAAGTTTCAACGCTGTGAGTTGAATGCACACATCACAAAGAAGTTTCTGAGAATGCTTCTGTCTAATTTTTATGTGAAGATAATCCTGTTTCCCAAGAAGGCTTCAAAGCACCCTAATATCCGCCTCCAGATTCTACAGAAAGAGTGTTTCAAAACTGCTCTATCAAAAGGAAGGTTCAACTCTGTGAGTTGAATGCAGACATCATAAAGGAGTTTCTGAGAATGCTTCTGTCTTGTTTAAATGTGAAGATATTTCCTTTTCAACCGATAGCCTAAAAGAGCTCCAAATGTCCAACTGCAGATTTTTTAAAAAGAATGTTTCAAAACTGCACTATCAAAAGAAAGGTTCAGCTCTGTGAGTTGAATGCACACATCTCAAAGAAGTTTCTGAGAATGGTTCTGTCTAGTTTTTATGTGAAGGGATTCGCGATTCCAATGAAGTCTTCAAAGCGCTTCAAATATCTAAATGCGGATTCTACAAAAAGAGTGATTCAAAACTGGTCAATGAAAAGGAAGGTTCAGCTCTGTGAGTTGAACGCACACATCACAAAACGTTTCGGACAATGCTTCCATTTAGTTTTTAGGTGAAGATATTACCTTTTCAACCACAGCCTTCGAAACGCTCCAAATGTCCACTTGCAGATTCTACAAGAAGATTGTTTCCAGGCGGCTCTATCAAAAGAAATGTTCAACTATGGGAGTAGAATACACACATCACAAAGTCGTTTCTGAGAATGCTTCTGTCTAGTTTTTATGTGAAGATATTTCCTTTTCTACCAGAGGCCTGAAAGCGCTCCAAACATCCAATTGCAGATTCTACAAAAAGAGTGTTTCAAAACTTCTCTATCAAAAGTAAGGGTCTGCTTTGTGAGTTGAATGTACACATCAAAATGAAGTTTCTGATTATACTTCTGTCTACTTCTTATGGGAAGATATTTCCTTATCCGCAATGGTCCTCAAAGCCCTCGAAATGCCCACTTGAAGATTCTTCGGAAAGACTGTATCAAAACTGCTCTATCAAAAGAAAGTTTCAACTTTGTGTGTAGAATGCACACATCACAAAGTCGTTTCTGAGAATGCTTCTGTCTAGTTTTTATATGAAGATATTTCCTTTTCTACCATAAGCCTCAAAGCACTGCACATATGAACTGGCAGATCCTTTAAAAAGAGTGTTTCAAAACTGCTCTATCAAAACTGTTCTATCAACTCTGTGAGATGAATGGACACATCACAAAGATGTTTCTGAGAATGCTTCTGTCTAGGTTTTAGGTGAAGATATTCTCGTTTCCAAAGAATGCTTCAAAGAGTACTTAAATATCCGCCTGCAGATTCTACAAAAGGAGTGTTTCAAAACTGCTCTAACAAAAGAAAGGTTCAACCTGGGAGTTGAATGCACACATCACAAAGAAGTTTCTGAGAATGCTTCTGTCTAGTTTTAATGCGAAGATATTCCCTTTTCCATCATAACCTTCAAAGCGCTCCAAATGTCCATTTGCAGATTTTAGAAACAGAGTGTTTCCAGACTGCTCTATCAAAAGAAATTTTCAACTATGGGAGTAGAATGCACACAACACAAATTCGTTTCTGAGAATGCTTCTGTCTAGTTTTTATGTGAAGATATTTCCTTTTCTACCACAGGCATAAATGTGCTCCAAATATCCACTTGCAGATTCTAAACAAAGAGTGTTTCAAAACTGCTGTATCAAAAGGAAGGTTCAATTCTGTGAGTTGAATGCACACATCACAAAGTAGTTTCTGAGAATGCTTCTGCCTAATTTTTAGATTTAAGATATTCCCATTTCCAAAGAAGGCTTCAATTTGCTCCAAATATCCACTTGCAGATTGTACAAAAAGAGGGTTTCAAAACTGCTCTATCAAAAGGAAGGTTCAACTCTGTGAGATGAATGCACACATCACAAAGTGGTTTCCGAGAATGCTTCTTTCTAGTTTTTAGGTGACGATATTCCCGTTTCCAATGTAGCACTCAAAGAGCTCCAAATATCCTCCTGCAGATTGTGCAAAAAGGGTGTTTCAAAACTGCTCTATCAAAAAGAAGCTTCAACTCTGTGAGTTGAATGCACAAATCACAAAGAAGTTTCTGGGAATACTTCTGTCTATTTTTATGTGACGATACTCCCGTTTCCAAAGAAGGCTTCAAAGCACTCCAAATATCCACCTGCAGATTATAAAGGAAGAGTTTTTCAAAACTGCTCAATCCAAAGGAAGGTTCAGCTCCGTGAGTTCAATGCCCACATCACAAAGAAGTTTCTGAGAATGCTTCTGTCTGGTTTCAAGGGGAAGATATTCCCGTTTCCAACGAAGGCTTCAAAGCGCTCCAACTATCCACTTGCAGAGTCTACAAAAAGACTGTTTCAAAACTGCTCTATAAAAGTAAGGTTGTACTTTGTTAGTGGAATGCACCCATCAAAATGAAGTTTCTGAGAACACTTCTGTCTACTTTTCATGTGAAGATATTTCCTTATCCACAATAGTCCCCAAAGCCCTCAAAATGCCCACTTGAAGATCCCTCAAAAAGACTGTTTCAAAACTGCAGTATCAGAAGGAAATTTCAACTATGTGAGTAGAATGCACACATCACAAAGTAGTTTCTGAGAATGCTTCTGTCTAGTTTTTATATGAAGATATTTCCTTTTCGACCTTAAGCGTCAAAGTGCTGCAATTATGCACTTTCAGATTCTTCAAAAAGAGGGTTTCAAAACTGCTCTGGCAAAAGGAAGTTTCAACGCTGTGAGTTGAATGCACACATCACAAAGAAGTTTCTGAGAATGCTTCTGTCTAATTTTTATGTGAAGATAATCCTGTTTCCCAAGAAGGCTTCAAAGCACCCTAATATCCGCCTCCAGATTCTACAGAAAGAGTGTTTCAAAACTGCTCTATGAAAAGGAAGGTTCAACTCTGTGAGTTGAATGCAGACATCATAAAGGAGTTTCTGAGAATGCTTCCGTCTTGTTTTAATGTGAAGATATTTCCTTTTCAACCGATAGCCTAAAAGAGCTCCAAATGTCCAACTGCAGATTTTTTAAAAAGAATGTTTCAAAACTGCACTATCAAAAGAAAGGTTCAGCTCCGTGAGTTGAATGCACACATCTCAAAGAAGTTTCCGAGAATGCTTCTGTCTAGTTTTTATGTGAAGGTATTCACGATTCCAATGAAGTCTTCAAAGCGCTCCAAATATCTAAATGCGGATTCTACAAAAAGAGTGATTCAAAACTGGTCTATGAAAAGGAAGGTTCAGCTCTGTGAGTTGAACGCACACATCACAAAAAGTTTCGGACAATGCTTCCATTTAGTTTTTAGGTGAAGATATTACCTTTTCAACCACAGCCTTCAAGACGCTCCAAATGTCCACTTGCAGATTCTACAAGAAGATTGTTTCCAGGCTGCTCTATCAAAAGAAATGTTCAACTATGGGAGTAGAATACACACATCACAAAGTCGTTTCTGAGAATGCTTCTGTCTAGTTTTTATGTGAAGATATTTCCTTTTCTACCAGAGGCCTGAAAGCGCTCCAAACATCCAATTGCAGATTCTACAAAAAGAGTGTTTCAAAACTTCTCTATCAAAAGTAAGGGTCTGCTTTGTGAGTTGAATGTACACATCAAAATGAAGTTTCTGATTATACTTCTGTCTACTTCTTATGGGAAGATATTTCCTTATCCGCAATGGTCCTCAAAGCCCTCGAAATGCCCACTTGAAGATTCTTCGGAAAGACTGTTTCAAAACTGCTCTATCAAAAGAAAGTTTCAACTTTGTGTGTAGAATGCACACATCACAAAGTCGTTTCTGAGAATGCTTCTGTCTAGTTTTTATATGAAGATATTTCCTTTTCTACCATAAGCCTCAAAGCACTGCACATATGAACTGGCAGATCCTTTAAAAAGAGTGTTTCAAAACTGCTCTATCAAAACTGTTCTATCAACTCTGTGAGATGAATGGACACATCACAAAGATGTTTCTGAGAATGCTTCTGTCTAGGTTTTAGGTGAAGATATTCTCGTTTCCAAAGAATGCTTCAAAGAGTACTTAAATATCCGCCTGCAGATTCTACAAAAGGAGTGTTTCAAAACTGCTCTAACAAAAGAAAGGTTCAACCTGGGAGTTGAATGCACACATCACAAAGAAGTTTCTGAGAATGCTTCTGTCTAGTTTTAATGCGAAGATATTCCCTTTTCCATCATAACCTTCAAAGCGCTCCAAATGTCCATTTGCAGATTTTAGAAACAGAGTGTTTCCAGACTGCTCTATCAAAAGAAATTTTCAACTATGGGAGTAGAATGCACACAACACAAATTCGTTTCTGAGAATGCTTCTGTCTAGTTTTTATGTGAAGATATTTCCTTTTCTACCACAGGCATAAATGTGCTCCAAATATCCACTTGCAGATTCTGAAAAAAGAGTGTTTCAAAACTGCTGTATCAAAAGGAAGGTTCAATTCTGTGAGTTGAATGCACGCATCACAAAGCAGTTTCTGAGAATGCTTCTGCCTAATTTTTAGATTTAAGATATTCCCATTTCCAAAGAAGGCTTCAATTTGCTCCAAATATCCACTTGCAGATTGTACAAAAAGAGGGTTTCAAAACTGCTCTATCAAAAGGAAGGTTCAACTCTGTGAGATGAATGCACACATCACAAAGTGGTTTCAGAGAATGCTTCTTTCTAGTTTTTAGGTGACGATATTCCCGTTTCCAATGTAGCACTCAAAGAGCTCCAAATATCCTCCTGCAGATTGTGCAAAAAGGGTGTTTCAAAACTGCTCTATCAAAAAGAAGCTTCAACTCTGTGAGTTGAATGCACAAATCACAAAGAAGTTTCTGGGAATACTTCTGTCTATTTTTATGTGACGATACTCCCGTTTCCAAAGAAGGCTTCAAAGCACTCCAAATATCCACCTGCAGATTATAAAGGAAGAGTTTTTCAAAACTGCTCAATCCAAAGGAAGGTTCAGCTCCGTGAGTTCAATGCCCACATCACAAAGAAGTTTCTGAGAATGCTTCTGTGTGGTTTCAAGGGGAAGATATTCCCGTTTCCAACGAAGGCTTCAAAGTGCTCCAAATATCCGCTTGCAGAGTCTACAAAAAGACTGTTTCAAAACTGCTCTATAAAAGTAAGGTTGTACTTTGTTAGTTGAAAGCACCCATCAAAATGAAGTTTCTGAGAACACTTCTGTCTACTTTTCATGTGAAGATATTTCCTTATCCACAATAGTCCCCAAAGCCCTCAAAATGCCCACTTGAAGATCCCTCAAAAAGACTGTTTCAAAACTGCAGTATCAGAAGGAAATTTCAACTATGTGAGTAGAATGCACACATCACAAAGTAGTTTCTGAGAATGCTTCTGTCTAGTTTTTATATGAAGATATTTCCTTTTCGACCTTAAGCCTCAAAGTGCTGCAATTATGCACTTTCAGATTCTTCAAAAAGAGGGTTTCAAAACTGCTCTGGCAAAAGGAAGTTTCAACGCTGTGAGTTGAATGCACACATCACAAAGAAGTTTCTGAGAATGCTTCTGTCTAATTTTTATGTGAAGATAATCCTGTTTCCCAAGAAGGCTTCAAAGCACCCTAATATCCGCCTCCAGATTCTACAGAAAGAGTGTTTCAAAACTGCTCTATGGAAAGGAAGGTTCAACTCTGTGAGTTGAATGCAGACATCATAAAGAAGTTTCTGAGAATGCTTCTGTCTTGTTTTAATGTGAAGATACTTCCTTTTCAACCGATAGCCTAAAAGAGCTCCAAATGTCCAACTGCAGATATTTTAAAAAGAATGTTTCAAAACTGCACTATCAAAAGAAAGGTTCAGCTCTGTGAGTTGAATGCACACATCACAAAGAAGTTTCTGAGAATGGTTCTGTCTAGTTTTTATGTGAAGGTATTCGCGATTCCAATGAAGTCTTCAAAGCGCTCCAAATATCTAAATGCGGATTCTACAAAAAGAGTGATTCAAAACTGGTCTATGAAAAGGAAGGTTCAGCTCTGTGAGTTGAACGCACACATCACAAAAAGTTTCGGACAATGCTTCCATTTAGTTTTTAGGTGAAGATATTACCTTTTCAACAACAGCCTTCGAAACGCTCCAAATGTCCACTTGCAGATTCTACAAGAAGATTGTTTCCAGGCGGCTCTATCAAAAGAAATGTTCAACTATGGGAGTAGAATACACACATCACAAAGTCGTTTCTGAGAATGCTTCTGTCTAGTTTTTATGTGAAGATATTTCCTTTTCTACCAGAGGCCTGAAAGCGCTCCAAATATCCAATTGCAGATTCTACAAAAAGACTGTTTCAAAACTTCTCTATCAAAAGTAAGGGTCTGCTTTGTGAGTTGAATGTACACATCAAAATGAAGTTTCTGATTATACTTCTGTCTACTTCTTATGGGAAGATATTTCCTTATCCGCAATGGTCCTCAAAGCCCTCGAAATGCCCACTTGAAGATTCTTCGGAAAGACGGTTTCAAAACTGCTCTATCAAAAGAAAGTTTCAACTTTGTGTGTAGAATGCACACATCACAAAGTCGTTTCTGAGAATGCTTCTGTCTAGTTTTTATATGAAGATATTTCCTTTTCTACCATAAGCCTCAAAGCACTGCACATATGAACTGGCAGATTCTTTAAAAAGAGTGTTTCAAAACTGCTCTATCAAAACTGTTCTATCAACTCTGTGAGATGAATGGACACATCACAAAGATGTTTCTGAGAATGCTTCTGTCTAGGTTTTAGGTGAAGATATTCTCGTTTCCAAAGAATGCTTCAAAGAGTACTTAAATATCCGCCTGCAGATTCTACAAAAGGAGTGTTTCAAAACTGCTCTAACAAAAGAAAGGTTCAACCTGGGAGTTGAATGCACACATCACAAAGAAGTTTCTGAGAATGCTTCTGTCTAGTTTTAATGCGAAGATATTCCCTTTTCCATCATAACCTTCAAAGCGCTCCAAATGTCCATTTGCAGATTTTAGAAACAGAGTGGTTCCAGACTGCTCTATCAAAAGAAATTTTCAACTATGGGAGTAGAATGCACACAACACAAATTCGTTTCTGAGAATGCTTCTGTCTAGTTTTTATGTGAAGATATTTCCTTTTCTACCACCGGCATAAATGTGCTCCAAATATCCACTTGCAGATTCTAAACAAAGAGTGTTTCAAAACTGCTGTATCAAAAGGAAGGTTCAATTCTGTGAGTTCAATGCACACATCACAAAGTAGTTTCTGAGAATGCTTCTGCCTAATTTTTAGATTTAAGATATTCCAATTTCCAAAGAAGGCTTCAATTTGCTCCAAATATCCACTTGCAGATTGTACAAAAAGAGGGTTTCAAAACTGCTCTATCAAAAGGAAGTTTCAACTCTGTGAGATGAATGCACACATCACAAAGTGGTTTCAGAGAATGCTTCTTTCTAGTTTTTAGGTGACGATATTCCCGTTTCCAATGTAGCACTCAAAGAGCTCCAAATATCCTCCTGCAGATTGTGCAAAAAGGGTGTTTCAAAACTGCTCTATCAAAAAGAAGCTTCAACTCTGTGAGTTGAATGCACAAATCACAAAGAAGTTTCTGGGAATACTTCTGTCTATTTTTATGTGACGATACTCCCGTTTCCAAAGAAGGCTTCAAAGCACTCCAAATATCCACCTGCAGATTATAAAGGAAGAGTTTTTCAAAACTGCTCAATCCAAAGGAAGTTTCAGCTCCGTGAGTTCAATGCCCACATCACAAAGAAGTTTCTGAGAATGCTTCTGTCTAGTTTCAAGGGGAAGATATTCCCGTTTCCAACGAAGGCTTCAAAGCGCTCCAAATATCCACTTGCAGAGTCTACAAAAAGACTGTTTCAAAACTGCTCTATAAAAGTAAGGTTGTACTTTGTTAGTGGAATGCACCCATCAAAATGAAGTTTCTGAGAACACTTCTGTCTACTTTTCATGTGAAGATATTTCCTTATCCACAATAGTCCCCAAAGCCCTCAAAATGCCCACTTGAAGATCCCTCAAAAAGACTGTTTCAAAACTGCAGTATCAGAAGGAAATTTCAACTATGTGAGTAGAATGCACACATCACAAAGTAGTTTCTGAGAATGCTTCTGTCTAGTTTTTATATGAAGATATTTCCTTTTCGACCTTAAGCCTCAAAGTGCTGCAATTATGCACTTTCAGATTCTTCAAAAAGAGGGTTTCAAAACTGCTCTGGCAAAAGGAAGTTTCAACGCTGTGAGTTGAATGCACACATCACAAAGAAGTTTCTGAGAATGCTTCTGTCTAATTTTTATGTGAAGATAATCCTGTTTCCCAAGAAGGCTTCAAAGCACCCTAATATCCGCCTCCAGATTCTACAGAAAGAGTGTTTCAAAACTGCTCTATCAAAAGGAAGGTTCAACTCTGTGAGTTGAATGCAGACATCATAAAGGAGTTTCTGAGAATGCTTCTGTCTTGTTTTAATGTGAAGATACTTCCTTTTCAACCGATAGCCTAAAAGAGCTCCAAATGTCCAACTGCAGATTTTTTAAAAAGAATGTTTCAAAACTGCACTATCAAAAGAAAGGTTCAGCTCTGTGAGTTGAATGCACACATCTCAAAGGAGTTTCTGAGAATGGTTTCTGTCTAGTTTTTATGTGAAGATATTCGCGATTCCAATGAAGTCTTCAAAGCGCTCCAAATATCTAAATGCGGATTCTACAAAAAGAGTGATTCAAAACTGGTCTAAGAAAAGGAAGGTTCAGCTCTGTGAGTTGAACGCACACATCACAAAACTTTCGGAGAATGCTTCCATTTAGTTTTTAGGTGAAGACATTACCTTTTCAACCACAGCCTTCGAACCGCTCCAAATGTCCACTTGCAGATTCTACAAGAAGATTGTTTCCAGGCGGCTCTATCAAAAGAAATGTTCAACTATGGGAGTAGAATACACACATCACAAAGTCGTTTCTGAGAATGCTTCTGTCTAGTTTTTATGTGAAGATATTTCCTTTTCTACCAGAGGCCTGAAAGCGCTCCAAATATCCAATTGCAGATTCTACAAAAAGAGTGTTTCAAAACTTCTCTATCAAAAGTAAGGGTCTGCTTTGTGAGTTGAATGTACACATCAAAATGAAGTTTCTGATTATACTTCTGTCTACTTCTTATGGGAAGATATTTCCTTATCCGCAATGGTCCTCAAAGCCCTCGAAATGCCCACTTGAAGATTCTTCGGAAAGACGGTTTCAAAACTGCTCTATCAAAAGAAAGTTTCAACTTTGTGTGTAGAATGCACACATCACAAAGTCGTTTCTGAGAATGCTTCTGTCTAGTTTTTATATGAAGATATTTCCTTTTCTACCATAAGCCTCAAAGCACTGCACATATGAACTGGCAGATTCTTTAAAAAGAGTGTTTCAAAACTGCTCTATCAAAACTGTTCTATCAACTCTGTGAGATGAATGGACACATCACAAAGATGTTTCTGAAAATGCCTCTGTCTGGGTTTTCGGTGAAGATATTCTCGTTTCCAAAGAATGCTTCAAAGAGTACTTAAATATCCGCCTGCAGATTCTACAAAAGGAGTGTTTCAAAACTGCTCTAACAAAAGAAAGGTTCAACCTGGGAGTTGAATGCACACATCACAAAGAAGTTTCTGAGAATGCTTCTGTCTAGTTTTAATGCGAAGATATTCCCTTTTCCATCATAACCTTCAAAGCGCTCCAAATGTCCATTTGCAAATTTTAGAAACAGAGTGTTTCCAGACTGCTCTATCAAAAGAAATTTTCAACTATGGGAGTAGAATGCACACAACACAAATTCGTTTCTGAGAATGCTTCCGTCTAGTTTTTATGTGAAGATATTTCCTTTTCTACCACAGGCATAAATGTGCTCCAAATATCCACTTGCAGATTCTAAACAAAGAGTGTTTCAAAACTGCTGTATCAAAAGGAAGGTTCAATTCTGTGAGTTGAATGCACACATCACAAAGTAGTTTCTGAGAATGCTTCTGCCTAATTTTTAGATTTAAGATATTCCAATTTCGAAAGAAGGCTTCAATTTGCTCCAAATATCCACTTGCAGATTGTACAAAAAGAGGGTTTCAAAACTGCTCTATCAAAAGGAAGGTTCAACTCTGTGAGATGAATGCACACATCACAAAGTGGTTTCAGAGAATGCTTCTTTCTAGTTTTTAGGTGACGATATTCCCGTTTCCAATGTAGCACTCAAAGAGCTCCAAATATCCTCCTGCAGATTGTGCAAAAAGGGTGTTTCAAAACTGCTCTATCAAAAAGAAGCTTCAACTCTGTGAGTTGAATGCACAAATCACAAAGAAGTTTCTGGGAATACTTCTGTCTATTTTTATGTGACGATACTCCCGTTTCCAAAGAAGGCTTCAAAGCACTCCAAATATCCACCTGCAGATAATAAAGGAAGAGTTTTTCAAAACTGCTCAATCCAAAGGAAGGTTCAGCTCCGTGAGTTCAATGCCCACATCACAAAGAAGTTTCTGAGAATGCTTCTGTCTAGTTTCAATGGGAAGATATTCCCGTTTCCAACGAAGGCTTCAAAGCGCTCCAAATATCCACTTGCAGAGTCTACAAAAAGACTGTTTCAAAACTGCTCTATAAAAGTAAGGTTGTACTTTGTTAGTGGAATGCACCCATCAAAATGAAGTTTCTGAGAACACTTCTGTCTACTTTTCATGTGAAGATATTTCCTTATCCACGATAGTCCCCAAAGCCATCAAAATGCCCACTCGAAGATTCCTCAAAAAGACGGTTTCAATACTGCAGTATCAGAAGGAAATTTCAACTATGTGAGTAGAATGCACACATCACAAAGTAGTTTCTGAGAATGCTTCTGTCTAGTTTTTATATGAAGATATTTCCTTTTCGACCTTAAGCCTCAAAGTGCTGCAATTATGCACTTTCAGATTCTTCAAAAAGAGGGTTTCAAAACTGCTCTGGCAAAAGGAAGTTTCAACGCTGTGAGTTGAATGCACACATCACAAAGAAGTTTCTGAGAATGCTTCTGTCTAATTTTTATGTGAAGATAATCCTGTTTCCCAAGAAGGCTTCAAAGCACCCTAATATCCGCCTCCAGATTCTACAGAAAGAGTGTTTCAAAACTGCTCTATCAAAAGGAAGGTTCAACTCTGTGAGTTGAATGCAGACATCATAAAGGAGTTTCTGAGAATGCTTCTGTCTTGTTTTAATGTGAAGATACTTCCTTTTCAACCGATAGCCTAAAAGAGCTCCAAATGTCCAACTGCAGATTTTTTAAAAAGAATGTTTCAAAACTGCACTATCAAAAGAAAGGTTCAGCTCTGTGAGTTGAATGCACACATCTCAAAGGAGTTTCTGAGAATGGTTCTGTCTAGTTTTTATGTGAAGGTATTCGCGATTCCAATGAAGTCTTCAAAGCGCTCCAAATATCTAAATGCGGATTCTACAAAAAGAGTGATTCAAAACTGGTCTAAGAAAAGGAAGGTTCAGCTCTGTGAGTTGAACGCACACATCACAAAAAGTTTCGGACAATGCTTCCATTTAGTTTTTAGGTGAAGATATTACCTTTTCAACCACAGTCTTCAAAACGCTCCAAATGTCCACTTGCAGATTCTACAAGAAGATTGTTTCCAGGCGGCTCTATCAAAAGAAATGTTCAACTATGGGAGTAGAATACATACATCACAAAGTCGTTTCTGAAAATGCTTCTGTCTAGTTTTTATGTGAAGATATTTCCTTTTCTACCAGAGGCCTGAAAGCGCTCCAAATATCCAATTGCAGATTCTACAAAAAGAGTGTTTCAAAGCTTCTCTATCAAAAGTAAGGGTCTGCTTTGTGAGTTGAATGTACACATCAAAATGAAGTTTCTGATTATACTTCTGTCTACTTCTTATGGGAAGATATTTCCTTATCCGCAATGGTCCTCAAAGCCCTCGAAATGCCCACTTGAAGATTCTTCGGAAAGACTGTTTCAAAACTGCTCTATCAAAAGAAAGTTTCAACTTTGTGTGTAGAATGCACACATCACAAAGTCGTTTCTGAGAATGCTTCTGTCTAGTTTTGATATGAAGATATTTCCTTTTCTACCATAAGCCTCAAAGCACTGCACATATGAACTGGCAGATTCTTTAAAAAGAGTGTTTCAAAACTGCTCTATCAAAACTGTTCTATCAACTCTGTGAGATGAATGGACACATCACAAAGATGTTTCTGAGAATGCTTCTGTCTAGGTTTTAGGCGAAGATATTCTAGTTTCCAAAGAATGCTTCAAAGAGTACTTAAATATCCGCCTGCAGATTCTACAAAAGGAGTGTTTCAAAACTGCTCTAACAAAAGAAAGTTTCAACCTGGGAGTTGAATGCACACATCACAAAGAAGTTTCTGAGAATGCTTCTGTCTAGTTTTAATGCGAAGATATTCCCTTTTCCATCATAACCTTCAAAGCGCTCCAAATGTCCATTTGCAGATTTTAGAAACAGAGTGGTTCCAGACTGCTCTATCAGAAGAAATTTTCAACTATGGGAGTAGAATGCACACAACACAAATTCGTTTCTGAGAATGCTTCTGTCTAGTTTTTATGTGAAGATATTTCCTTTTCTACCATAGGCATAAACGTGCTCCAAATATCCACTGGCAGATTCTAAAAAAAGAGTGTTTCAAAACTGCTCTATCAAAAGGAAGGTTCAATTCTGTGAGTTGAATGCACACATCACAAAGTAGTTTCCTGAGAATGCTTCTGCCTAATTTTTAATTTTAAGATATTCCCATTTCCAAAGAAGGCTTCAATTTGCTCCAAATATCCACTTGCAGATTGTACAAAAAGAGGGTTTCAAAACTGCTCTATCAAAAGGAAGGTTCAACTCTGTGAGATGAATGCACACATCACAAAGTGGTTTCAGAGAATGCTTGTTTCTAGTTTTCAGGTGACGATATTCCCGTTTCCAATGTAGCACTCAAAGAGCTCCAAATATCCTCCTGCAGATTGTGCAAAAAGGGTGTTTCAAAACTGCTCTATCAAAAAGAAGCTTCAACTCTGTGAGTTGAATGCACAAATCACAAAGAAGTTTCTGGGAATACTTCTGTCTATTTTTATGTGACGATACTCCCGTTTCCAAAGAAGGCTTCAAAGCACTCCAAATATCCACCTGCAGATTATAAAGGAAGAGTTTTTCTAAACTGCTCAATCCAAAGGAAGGTTCAGCTCCGTGAGTTCAATGCCCACATCACAAAGAAGTTTCTGAGAATGCTTCTGTCTAGTTTCAAGGGGAAGATATTCCCGTTTCCAACGAAGGCTTCAAAGCGCTCCAAATATCCACTTGCAGAGTCTACAAAAAGACTGTTTCAAAACTGCTCAATAAAAGTAAGGTTGTACCTTGTTAGTTGAATGCACCCATCAAAATGAAGTTTCTGAGAACACTTCTGTCTACTTTTCATGTGAAGATATTTCCTTATCCACAATAGTCCCCAAAGCCCTCAAAATGCCCACTGGAAGATTCCTCAAAAAGACGGTTTCAATACTGCAGTATCAGAAGGAAATTTCAACTATGTGAGTAGAATGCACACATCACAAAGTAGTTTCTGAGAATGCTTCTGTCTAGTTTTTATATGAAGATATTTCCTTTTCTACATTAAGCCTCAAAGTGCTGCAATTATGCACTTTCAGATTCTTCAAAAAGAGGGTTTCAAAACTGCTCTAGCAAAAGGAAGTTTCAACGCTGTGAGTTGAATGCACACATCACAAAGAAGTTTCTGAGAATGCTTCTGTCTAATTTTTATGTGAAGATAATCCTGTTTCCCAAGAAGGCTTCAAAGCACCCTAATATCCGCCTCCAGATTCTACAGAAAGAGTGTTTCAAAACTGCTCTATCAAAAGGAAGGTTCAACTCTGTGAGTTGAATGCAGACATCATAAAGGAGTTTCTGAGAATGCTTCTGTCTTGTTTTAATGTGAAGATACTTCCTTTTCAACCGATAGCCTAAAAGAGCTCCAAATGTCCAACTGCAGATTTTTTAAAAAGAATGTTTCAAAACTGCACTATCAAAAGAAAGGTTCAGCTCTGTGAGTTGAATGCACACATCTCAAAGGAGTTTCTGAGAATGGTTCTGTCTAGTTTTTATGTGAAGGTATTCGCGATTCCAATGAAGTCTTCAAAGCGCTCCAAATATCTAAATGCGGATTCTACAAAAAGAGTGATTCAAAACTGGTCTAAGAAAAGGAAGGTTCAGCTCTGTGAGTTGAACGCACACATCACAAAAAGTTTCGGACAATGCTTCCATTTAGTTTTTAGGTGAAGATATTACCTTTTCAACCACAGCCTTCAAAACGCTCCAAATGTCCACTTGCAGATTCTACAAGAAGATTGTTTCCAGGCGGCTCTATCAAAAGAAATGTTCAACTATGGGAGTAGAATACACACATCACAAAGTCGTTTCTGGGAATGCTTCTGTCTAGTTTTTATGTGAAGATATTTCCTTTTCTACCAGCAGGCCTGAAAGCGCTCCAAATATCCAATTGCAGATTCTACAAAAAGAGTGTTTCAAAACTTCTCTATCAAAAGTAAGGGTCTGCTTTGTGAGTTGAATGTACACATCAAAATGAAGTTTCTGATTATACTTCTGTCTACTTCTTATGGGAAGATATTTCCTTATCCGCAATGGTCCTCAAAGCCCTCGAAATGCCCACTTGAAGATTCTTCGGAAAGACTGTTTCAAAACTGCTCTATCAAAAGAAAGTTTCAACTTTGTGTGTAGAATGCACACATCACAAAGTCGTTTCTGAGAATGCTTCTGTCTAGTTTTTATAGGAAGATATTTCCTTTTCTACCATAAGCCTCAAAGCACTGCACATATGAACTGGCAGATTCTTCAAAAAGAGTGTTTCAAAACTGCTCTATCAAAACTGTTCTATCAACTCTGTGAGTTGAGTGGACACATCACAAAGAAGTTTCTGAGAATGCTTCTGTCTAGGTTTTAGGTGAAGATATTCTCGTTTCCAAAGAATGCTTCAAAGAGTACTTAAATATCCGCCTGCAGATTCTACAAAAGGAGTGTTTCAAAACTGCTCTAACAAAAGAAAGGTTCAACCTGGGAGTTGAATGCACACATCACAAAGAAGTTTCTGAGAATGCTTCTGTCTAGTTTTAATGCGAAGATATTCCCTCCTCCACCATAACCTTCAAAGCGCTCCAAATGTCCATTTGCAGATATTACAAACAGAGTGTTTCCAGACTGCTCTACCAAAAGAAATTTTCAACTATGGGAGTAGAATGCACACATCAGAAATTCGTTTCTGAGAATGCTTCTGTCTAGTTTTTATGTGAAGATATTTCCTTTTCTACCATAGGCATAAATGTGCTCCAAATATCCACTGGCAGATTCTAAAGAAAGAGTGTTTCAAAACTGCTCTATCAAAAGGAAGGTTCAATTCTGTGAGTTGAATGCACACATCACAAAGTAGTTTCTGAGAATGCTTCTGCCTAATTTTTAATTTTAAGATATTCCCATTTCCAAAGAAGGCTTCAATTTGCTCCAAATATCCACTTGCAGATTGTACAAAAAGAGGGTTTCAAAACTGCTCTATCAAAAGGAAGGTTCAACTCTGTGAGATGAATGCACACATCACAAAGTGGTTTCAGAGAATGCTTGTTTCTAGTTTTCAGGTGACGATATTCCCGTTTCCAATGTAGCACTCAAAGAGCTCCAAATATCCTCCTGCAGATTGTGCAAAAAGGGTGTTTCAAAACTGCTCTATCAAAAAGAAGCTTCAACTCTGTGAGTTGAATGCACAAATCACAAAGAAGTTTCTGGGAATACTTCTGTCTATTTTTATGTGACGATACTCCCGTTTCCAAAGAAGGCTTCAAAGCACTCCAAATATCCACCTGCAGATTATAAAGGAAGAGTTTTTCTAAACTGCTCAATCCAAAGGAAGGTTCAGCTCCGTGAGTTCAATGCCCACATCACAAAGAAGTTTCTGAGAATGCTTCTGTCTAGTTTCAATGGGAAGATATTCCCGTTTCCAACGAAGGCTTCAAAGCGCTCCAAATATCCACTTGCAGAGTCTACAAAAAGACTGTTTCACAACTGCTCTATAAAAGTTAGGTTGTACTTTGTTACTTGAATGCACCCATCAAAATGAAGTTTCTGAGAACACTTCTGTCTACTATTCATGTGAAGATATTTCCTTATCCACAATAGTCCCCAAAGCCCTCAAAATGCCCACTCGAAGATTCCTCAAAAAGACGGTTTCAAAACTGCAGTATCAGAAGGAAATTTCAACTATGTGAGTAGAATGCACACATCACAAAGTAGTTTCTGAGAATGCTTCTGTCTAGTTTTTATATGAAGATATTTCCTTTTCTACCTTAAGCCTCAAAGTGCTGCAATTATGCACTTTCAGATTCTTCAAAAAGAGGGTTTCAAAACTGCTCTAGCAAAAGGAAGTTTCAACGCTGTGAGTTGAATGCACACATCACAAAGAAGTTTCTGAGAATGCTTCTGTCTAATTTTTATGTGAAGATAATCCTGTTTCCCAAGAAGGCTTCAAAGCACCCTAATATCCGCCTCCAGATTCTACAGAAAGAGTGTTTTAAAACTGCTCTATCAAAAGGAAGGTTCAACTCTGTGAGTTGAATGCAGACATCATAAAGGAGTTTCTGAGAATGCTTCTGTCTTGTTTTAATGTGAAGATATTTCCTTTTCAACCGATAGCCTAAAAGAGCTCCAAATGTCCAACTGCAGATTTTTTAAAAAGAATGCTTCAAAACTGCACTATCAAAAGAAAGGTTCAGCTCTGTGAGTTGAATGCACACATCTCAAAGAAGTTTCTGAGAATGGTTCTGTCTAGTTTTTATGTGAAGGTATTCGCGATTCCAATGAAGTCTTCAAAGCGCTCCAAATATCTGAATGCGGATTCTACAAAAAGAGTGATTCAAAACTGGTCTAAGAAAAGGAAGGTTCAGCTCTGTGAGTTGAACGCACACATCACAAAAAGTTTCGGAGAATGCTTCCATTTAGTTTTTAGGTGAAGATATTACCTTTTCAACCACAGCCTTCAAAACGCTCCAAATGTCCACTTGCAGATTCTACAAGAAGATTGTTTCCAGGCGGCTCTATCAAAAGAAATGTTCAACTATGGGAGTAGAATACACACATCACAAAGTCGTTTCTGAGAATGCTTCTGTCTAGTTTTTATGTGAAGATATTTCCTTTTCTACCAGAAGGCCTGAAAGCGCTCCAAACATCCAATTGCAGATTCTACAAAAAGAGTGTTTCAAAACTTCTCTATCAAAAGTAAGGGTCTGCTTTGTGAGTTGAATGTACACATCAAAATGAAGTTTCTGATTATAGTTCTGTCTACTTCTTATGGGAAGATATTTCCTTATCCGCAATGGTCCTCAAAGCCCTGGAAATGCCCACTTGATGATTCTTCGGAAAGACGGTTTCAAACTGCTCTATCAAAAGAAAGTTTCAACTTTGTGTGTAGAATGCACACATCACAAAGTCGTTTCTGAGAATGCTTCTGTCTAGTTTTTATAGGAAGATATTTCCTTTTCTACCATAAGCCTCAAAGCACTGCACATATGAACTGGCTGATTCTTCAAAAAGAGTGTTTCAAAACTGCTCTATCAAAACTGTTCTATCAACTCTGTGAGTTGAGTGGACACATCACAAAGACATTTCTGAGAATGCTTCTGTCTAGGTTTTAGGTGAAGATATTCTCGTTTCCAAAGAATGCTTCAAATAGTACTTAAATATCCGCCTGCAGATTCTACAAAAGGAGTGTTTCAAAACTGCTCTAACAAAAGAAAGGTTCAACCTGGGAGTTGAATGCACACATCACAAAGAAGTTTCTGAGAATGCTTCTGTCTAGTTTTAAGGCGAATATATTCCCTCTTCCACCATAACCTTCAAAGCGCTCCAAATGTCCATTTGCAGATTTTACAAACAGAGTGTTTCCAGACTGCTCTACCAAAAGAAATTTTCAACTATGGGAGTAGAATGCACACATCACAAATTCGTTTCTGGGAATGCTTCTGTCTAGTTTTTATGTGAAGATATTTCCTTTTCTACCATAGGCATAAATGTGCTCCAAATATCCACTGGCAGATTCTAAAAAAAGAGTGTTTCAAAACTGCTCTATCAAAAGGAAGGTTCAATTCTGTGAGTTGAATGCACACATCACAAAGTAGTTTCTGAGAATGCTTCTGCCTAATTTTTAATTTTAAGATATTCCCATTTCCAAAGAAGGCTTCAATTTGCTCCAAATATCCACTTGCAGATTGTACAAAAAGAGGGTTTCAAAACTGCTCTATCAAAAGGAAGGTTCAACTCTGTGAGATGAATGCACACATCTCAAAGTGGTTTCAGAGAATGCTTGTTTCTAGTTTTCAGGTGACGATATTCCCGTTTCCAATGTAGCACTCAAAGAGCTCCAAATATCCTCCTGCAGATTGTGCAAAAAGGGTGTTTCAAAACTGCTCTATCAAAAAGAAGCTTCAACTCTGTGAGTTGAATGCACAAATCACAAAGAAGTTTCTGGGAATACTTCTGTCTATTTTTATGTGACGATACTCCCGTTTCCAAAGAAGGCTTCAAAGCACTCCAAATATCCACCTGCAGATTATGAAGAAAGAGTTTTTCTAAACTGCTCAATCCAAAGGAAGGTTCAGCTCCGTGAGTTCAATGCCCACATCACAAAGAAGTTTCTGAGAATGCTTCTGTCTGGTTTCAAGGGGAAGATATTCCCGTTTCCAACGAAGGCTTCAAAGCGCTCCAAATATCCACTTGCAGAGTCTACAAAAAGACTGTTTCAAAACTGCTCTATAAAAGTAAGGTTGTACTTTGTTAGTTGAATGCACCCATCAAAATGAAGTTTCTGAGAACACTTCTGTCTACTTTTCATGTGAAGATATTTCCTTATCCACAATAGTCCCGAAAGCCCTCAAAATGCCCACTTGAAGATCCCTCAAAAAGACTGTTTCAAAACTGCAGTATCAGAAGGAAATTTCAACTATGTGAGTAGAATGCACACATCACAAAGTAGTTTCTGAGAATGCTTCTGTCTAGTTTTTATATGAAGATATTTCCTTTTCGACCTTAAGCCTCAAAGTGCTGCAATTATGCACTTTCAGATTCTTCAAAAAGAGGGTTTCAAAACTGCTCTGGCAAAAGGAAGTTTCAACGCTGTGAGTTGAATGCACACATCACAAAGAAGTTTCTGAGAATGCTTCTGTCTAATTTTTATGTGAAGATAATCCTGCTTCCCAAGAAGGCTTCAAAGCACCCTAATATCCGCCTCCAGATTCTACAGAAAGAGTGTTTCAAAACTGCTCTATCAAAAGGAAGGTTCAACTCTTTGAGTTGAATGCAGACATCATAAAGGAGTTTCTGAGAATGCTTCCGTCTTGTTTTAATGTGAAGATATTTCCTTTTCAACCGATAGCCTAAAAGAGCTTCAAATGTCCAACTGCAGATTTTTTAAAAAGAATGTTTCAAAACTGCACTATCAAAAGAAAGGTTCAGCTCCGTGAGTTGAATGCACACATCTCAAAGAAGTTTCTGAGAATGCTTCTGTCTAGTTTTTATGTGAAGATATTCGCGATTCCAATGAAGTCTTCAAAACGCTCCAAATATCTAAATGCGGATCCTACAAAAAGAGTGATTCAAAACTGGTCTATGAAAAGGAAGGTTCAGCTCTGTGAGTTGAACGCACACATCACAGAAAGTTTCTGAGAATGCTTCCATTTAGTTTTTAGGTGAAGATATTACCTTTTCAACCACAGCCTTCGAAGCGCTCCAAATGTCCACTTGCAGATTCTACAAGAAGATTGTTTCCAGGCGGCTCTATCAAAAGAAATGTTCAACTATGGGAGTAGAATACACACATCACAAAGTCGTTTCTGAGAATGCTTCTGTCTAGTTTTTACGTGAAGATACTTCCTTTTCTACCAGAGGCCTGAAAGCGCTCCAAATATGCAATTGCAGATTCTACAAGAAGAGTGTTTCAAAACTTCTCTATCAAAAGTAAGGGTCTGCTTTGTGAGTTGAATGTACACATCAAAATGAAGTTTCTGATTATACTTCTGTCTACTTCTTATGGGAAGATATTTCCTTATCCGCAATGGTCCTCAAAGCGCTCGAAATGCCCACTTGAAGATTCTTGGGAAAGACTGTTTCAAAACTGCTCTATCAAAAGAAAGTTTCAACTTTGTGTGTAGAATGCACACATCACAAAGTCGTTTCTGAGAATGCTTCTGTCTAGTTTTTATAGGAAGATATTTCCTTTTCTACCATAAGCCTCAAAGCACGGCAAATATGAACTGGCAGATTCTTCAAAAAGAGTGTTTCAGAAATGCTCTATCAAAACTGTTCTATCAACCCTGTGAGTTGAATGGACACATCACAAAGACGTTTCTGAGAATGCTTCTGTCTAGGTTTTATGTGAAGATGTTCTCGTTTCCAAAGAATGCTTCAAAGAGTACTTAAGTATCCGCCTGCAGATTCTAAAAAAAGGAGTGTTTCAAAACTGCTCTAACAAAAGAAAGGTTCAACCTGGGAGTTGAATGCACACATCACAAAGAAGTTTCTGAGGATGCTTCTGTCTAGTTTTAATGCGAAGATATTCCCTTCTCCACCATAACCTTCAAAGCGCTCCAAATGTCCATTTGCAGATTTTACAAACAGAGTGTTTCCAGACTGCTCTATCAAAAGAAATTTTCAACTATGGGAGTAGAATGCACACATCACAAATGCGTTTCTGAGAATGCTTCTGTCTAGTTTTTATGTGAAGATATTTCCTTTTCTACCGTAGGCATACATGTGCTCCAAATATCCGCTTGCAGATTCTAAAAAAAGAGTGTTTCAAAACTGCTCCATCAAAAGGAAGGTTCAATTCTGTGAGTTGAATGCACACATCAAAAGTAGTTTCTGAGAATGCTTCTGCCTAATTTTACATTTTAAGATATTCCCATTTCCAAAGAAGGCTTCAATTTGCTCCAAATATCCACTTGCAGATTGTACAAAAACAGGGTTTCAAAACTGCTCTATCAAAAGGAAGGTTCAACTCTGTGAGATGAATGCACACATCACAAAGTGGTTTCAGAGAATGCTTCTTTCTAGTTTTTCGGTGACGATATTCCCGTTTCCAATGTAGCATTCAAAGAGCTCCAAATATCCTCCTGCAGATTGTGCAAAAAGGGTGTTTCAAAACTGCTCTGTCAAAAAGAAGCTTCAACTCTGTGAGTTGAATGCACAAATCACAAAGAAGTCTCTGAGAATACTTCTGTCTATTTTTATGTGACGATACTCCCGTTTCCAAAGAAGGCTTCAAAGCACTCCAAATATCCACCTGCAGATTATAAAGGAAGAGTTTTTCTAAACTGCTCAATCCAAAGGAAGGTTCAGCTCCGTGAGTTCAATGCCCACATCACAAAGTAGTTTCTGAGAATGCTTCTGTCTAGTTTCAAGGGGAAGATATTCCCGTTTCCAACGAAGTCTTCAAAGCGCTCCAAATATCCACTTGCAGAGTCTACAAAAAGACTGTTTCAAAACTGCTCAATAAAAGTAAGGTTGTACCTTGTTAGTTGAATGCACCCATCAAAATGAAGTTTCTGAGAACACT